>NC_000003.12:124311634-124463149 GCF_000001405.40 Homo sapiens
GGTATATACTCAAGAGAAATGTAAACATATGTCTACATAAAATGTCCATACATTGTACACAAATGTTTGCAGCAACATTATGTATAATAATCAAAAGGTGGAAACTACCCAAGTTTCCATAAACTGATGAATGGATAGACAAAATGTAGTATCTTCATATAATGGACTTATATTTATTTGGCCATAAAAAGGAATGACATGCTGACATGTGTTACAACATGGATGGACCTTGAAAACATTTTGCTAAGTGAAAGAAGCTAGTAACCAAATACCACTTATTATTTGGTTTCATTTATTTGAAAAGTCCAGAATAGGCAAACCTTTAAAGAAGAAAGTAGATTAGTTGTTGCTTAGAGTTAGAATGGAAGGGGTATAAGAGAGTTATATCTAATAGGTACAGAGTTTCTTTTTGAGACAATGAAAATGTTCTAAAATTGATTGTGATGTTGGTTGTACATATCTATATACTAAATACTAATATACTAAAAACCATTGAATTATGCACTTTTTATTTTATTTCATTCCATTTCATTTCATTTCATTTAGACAGAATTTCACTCTTGTTGCCCAGGCCAGAATGCAGTGGGGCGATCTCGGCTCACTGCAACCTCTGCCTCCCGGGTTCAAGTGATTCTTATGCCTCAGCCTCCTGAGTAGTTGGGATTACAGGCACCCGCCACCATGCCCGGCTAATTTTTGTATTTTTAGTAGAGATGGGGTTTCGCCATGTTGGCCAGGCTGGTCTTGAACTCCTGACCTCAGATGATCCACCTGCCTTGGCCTCCCAAAATGCTGGGATCACAGGTGTGAGCCACTGCGCCCAGTCTGAATTATACACTTTAAATGGACAAATTGTATGGTATGTTGAAAAAAAAGAAAAGAAGACAACTGAAGAGTGAGTATTTTGCAAGTGGGTCTTTACTTGCTTGAAAATATAACCTTCCTAAACATTAAAGGGAATGGCCATGACAGAGTGTGGACACCAACACTGGTGGTGTTAGGGAAGCTGAAGTAAGAGGATCTGTGTGTACCACACAGTATTCACTCATTTGTGCATTCAACAAACTTTTGCTGTCTGTGTCTTTTACTAAACACTGAGAACAGCAAGGTTCATGAGACACAAAGCTATCTTCAAGGAGCTTGAAATTTAGTCATTCCCAAATTCATGTACCTAACGCAAAGAGAATTTTGCCCACTAGAGTATAAACTCCTAAAGGCAGAGCTTTGTCTGTTTTATTCACAGCTGTATCTGCAGAAATTATAACAATGCCTGGCAGTTAGTAGGTGCCTAAATAAACGCTTGTTGAATGAACTATGATGTTAAGCATTTCACAGTGTCTGTCACCAACCCTGAACACTATTTGAGCATCAAGGATGCAGAGCTAGGAAGGTAGGGCCTTTATTTTTGAGGGAGCCCAATAAGGCATGGCTCCAGCAGAAGCTGAACAACCACCAATTAGAAGGTGAATGAGAGCACTGATTTTCTTCAGGGATGGACATGCTTACAGTGTCCCCAGGCGATACACACTAACATCCAGGAACTACCAGACTGCATGATCTTTCAAGTTCCACTGATCCCAAACATCTTTGTTTCTGGGATTCTCATCCTAAAGACAGAAGCAAAGCCACTAAAAAGCAAACCCCCACCCCCTGACAAAAATAAATATGATCCAGTGGTCGCTGTTAACACTGCAGTTCCTAAGGCAGGCCTTTAGGGAACCTGTGATTGCAAAGTACTGCATGTATACCCAGCCAGACCTGTTCTTATCAATCAAGTTGAACAGGATACAGTGTTTGTATCTCCACAGACAGCCTGGTGGATGGAACTTCCCTTTTCTTCTGACTCAGTAGGAGCATTAGATTTTATTTTCTGATCTGCTCAGGATTAATTTATGACCCTTGCTCTTGGCACCATTGTCAGCATTAAACTAGACCCAAAGGAGAGAAGGGTGTGCTTTGAATTCAACTCTGGTGAAGCTAGTGCTTGTCTCTAAGGCAGCAGTCCTGCACTCTGACTGCCCGCTGGAGTCACCTGGGAAGCTTTTTAAAAATGCCCAAAATACCACATATGGGTTCCACTCTAGATTCTGATTTAACCGTACTGTGGTGACTCAGGAAATCTGTACCAGGCTGAGAACCAAGTTGAAAATCACTACTGGTTCAGGGTGAAGGAAATAAGCCAATTGACATTAGCCCTGAGGTCAAACTCTAAAGTTATCAAATAATTAGCCTGTGGACTTGGAGGGTGTCAGTTCATTTGTGTTGCTATAAGAGAATACCTGAGTCATAGGATGGCTGGGTCAAATGGTATTTCTAGTTCTAGATCCTTGAGGAATCGCCACCCTGTCTTCCACAATGGTTGAACTAGAATACCCAAAGGATTATAAATCATGCTGCTATAAAGACACATGCACACGTATGTTTATTGCGGCACTATTCACCATAGCAAAGACTTGGAACTAACCCAAATGTCCATCAATGATAGACTGGATTAAGAAAATGTGGCACATATACACCATGGAATACTAGGCGGCCATAAAAAAGGATGAGTTCATGTCCTTTATAGGGACATGGTTGAAGCTGGAAACCATCATTCTGAGCAAACTATCGCAAGGACAGAAAACCAAACACCGCATGTTCTTATTCATAGGTGGGAATTGAACAATGAGAACACTTGGACATAGGTTGGGGAACATCACATACCGGGGCCTGTTGTGGGGTGGGGGGAGGGGGGAGGGATAGCATTAGGAGATATACCTAATGTAAAGGACGAGTTAATGGGTACAGCACACCAACATGGAACATGTATACATATGTAACAAACCCACACGTTGTGCACATATACCCTGGAACTTAAAGTATATTTAAAAAAAAAGAATACCTGAATCTGGGTAATTTATAAAGAGGTTTGTCTGGCTCACAGTTCTACAGGTCATACAAGGAGCATGGTGCCAGCATCTGCTTCTGGTGAGGGCCTTAGATTTCTTCCACTCATACAGGAAGATGAAAGACACTGGCATGTAGAGGTCACATGGCACGAGAGAAAGGATCTGGTTCTGTCTCCTAGGCTGGCATGCAGTGGCAGGATTGTGGCTCACTGCAGCCTCAACCTCCAGGGCTCAAGCAGTCCTCCTGCCTCAGCCTCTCAAGTAGCTGGACTACAGGTGTATGCCACCATGCTGGCTAATTTTTTAATTTTTTGTAGATACAGGGTCTCACTATGTTGCCCAGGTTGGTCTCAAACTCCTGGCCTCAAGTGATCCACCTTGGCCTCCCAAAGTGTTGGAATTACAGATGTGAGCCACCATGCCCAGCCCAGGTTCTTTTAACAACCAGCTTTTGTGGGAACTAACAGAGTGAGAACACACTCATTACCTTGAGGAGGAGCTATTCATAAGGGATCTGTCCCCCTGACCCAAACAAGTCCCACTAGGCCCTACCTCCAACATTGGAGATCACATTTCAACATGAGGTTTGGAGAGTCAAGTATCTAAACTACAGGAGAAGATGAGGACATTTCTCCGACCTCAAGAGTCTTCAGGGAGAAAGAGTGCCTGTGTTTTAATCCCTACTCCTTGCTCCCCATCCCAACCTTTCCAGATGTCCCATTTGCTTTTACGCCCTAACTCTAATCAGCCATGTTTGGGGATTGGTTCCTATTCAAACAGGAAGCACAGGGAAGCTCCTTGGTTTAGGCAGCCTTCTCAGTTTTGCTCTAGTGCACACATGGCCTGGGTCCCTTCTGCAAGGCTCCTCTGAGCTGACCAGCAGGACTTGGCTGATGACTCAGGTTTCTGACTCATGGTTGGCACTGCCTGGCTCAACCATCTCTCTTTATTGCTTATCCCCTTCAGACCCCAGATCTCCCTCCTTTTCTCCCTCACTGCTGGTTCTCTACCCACGATCCTGGGACCTTCTTTTCTGGCTTCCGTCCACTGCTCTCTCAGGTCCTTTGTCAGCATGTTCCATAACCCAGGCTATTTGCTGTATCCTCTCGGTGTTTGCCCCCGAGACCTGTAGCTCAGTTGACCCACCCACTTACACATACTCATCTATGGCCACTACTTGTTCTCCGTCAGGTCTGCATTTGCTAAGCAGTTAATTTGTCCGAAATTCAGCCAAAGCTGACTTATGCCTTTCTTTGTGGTCTCCTGGAGTTGAATGAAAGGCATGAAATGGTCAGTGAAACCTAGTATGTCAGATGAGATATGCACATGAGAAGTCTTGAACTGTAAAGCAGAACACAAATATGAAGTGTCGATAATAATCAGTGACAGTGCCATTTGGGGACAGCATGGTAGCCAGCTAGGAGTACCAGATGAAGGACAGAGACTGATTACAGACATTACAGGTGAGACGTTTGCAAGTCAGGAAACTGAAGAGGTGTGAGAGGTCAGGACGAGACGGGCGGATGAGAAGGGAGCAGCACAAAAAGCAGAAGTCACAGTTCCTTACACAACCAGAGGCCCGGAAATGAGGAAAAGCTAAAGGACTGTCTTCTGCAAGTCCTTTCAGCTCTAATCTCAAAATATATCCAGAATCTGGCCTCTTATTGCCGCCTCCATGGTTACCCCCTTGATCCAAGCTGACATCAGCTCCTGCCTGGACTGCTGTAGTAGCTCCTACCTGGTCTCTCTGCCTCCACCTTTGCTCCCCAGCAGTCCATTCTCGACCCACAGCCTGAGTGATCCTGCCTAAAGGTGAGGTCCGTTACATCTTGCCACTCTGCTTAAAATACCTTCATGTCTTCCTTTCCTCATAATGAAAGCCGAAGTCCCTTACCATGGCTTACTGGGATCCAATAGACTGAACTCCACTTACTTTTCACATCTCAGCCTCTACAACTTGTCATTTGTCCCGGTCATCCTGGGATTCTTGCTGTTTCTTGACCCACCAAAGACATTCCTGCCTCACGGCCTTTGCCCCTGCTGCTCCTCTTTCTGCAGATAGCCACATGGCTCACCTTCTTACTTCATTCAGGGTCAAGCTCAGGGGTCACCCTGCCCCGGCTTCTCTATTTTATGTAGCACTCTCCAGCCCCATCACGTGCTATCCTTTTCCCAGGCATATTTTATGTAACACTGAAATAAAGATATAGTAAATATTTATTAATTTATTGTCTGACTCTTCTACTAAAAGGTAAACTCTGAGAACATAGGAATTTTGTCTGTCTTGTACCTTGCTTGTACAATGTCTTGTATTGTTGAATTAATCAATGGATGAATAAACATATAGGATGACATATTTAAGACTCCAGCTATAAGGCAAGATATTGATGAAAGCAAAGAGTTGCCTTAATCTTGAACTTTCTTGCGGTTCTATGGAGAAAATGACCTGTTCCTCAGGGCAGCTGGCTTCAGATTTACAGGTAGAGATTATTGCTCCAAGGCAGGAGGGGGCAAGAGAATTCCACCTACCAGGCTCCTGCCCATTCCGGAGCTAGGCTATTCTGGAAAATCCAAGAGCACGTCAAGGGCCCAATGGGAAAGCTTCAGAGATGAAAACACGCTTACTGAGTTCTCTCTCCAGAGGCTCTTTTTCTCTCGGCTGTGATTTTTAGATCTTCAGTAGAAATTTCTCATCGTCTTCCCTCAAGGGAGAGGGAAGTGCCCCAGCTATTGCATTTATGGCAAAGTAAAACAGCTGGGGCAGTAGGTGCTAACTGTAGCTCTGTACTTCCTTCTTAGTACTGTGATCCTAGGCAGGTTATTTAAATTTTTCAGAACCTTACCACCTCATCTGTAAATAGGGGATAATGACAGTGACTTTGTCAGGGATGGCCTAAGGGTGAAATGTGTTTGTACATTTTAAGCACATTTGGCATGATGTTATGTTTGCAAATGTTCAGCTATTGTTAAGATCAGGCGTGCTAGAAGAAATAGTTCTTGTTCGGGGAAGCTCCTCAGCTCCTAACTGCAGAGATTCTCAAACATTAATGTGCATACCTATAACCTGGGACAATCTTGTTAAAATGCAGATTCTGATTCAGAAAGTTGGGGAAGGGCCTGAAATACTGTATTTCTAACAAGCTGCTAGGTGAAGCCAGTGTCACAGATCAAGCTCTAAGTAGCCAGGCCTTATTAAAAAAAAAAAAAAAAAAAAAAGGCGGGGGCTGGGGGGGCAGTTGGGGATAAAATGCTGATAAATATATTTCCCGGAAGTCTTAGAGGCTCTAATTTCAACCTTAAAGGTAGCCTAAAGTTACTACATCCTAACCCAGAAAAGCTGCAATTTTTCCTAATCACTTGCCTCACTAGGTGCCCCTGAATCTGATTCCAGCTGTACCCATCATTCCCTACCATTTCAATTTTGCAATGATGCCTCATACAAAAACATTTACCCTGCCCAAGGAGGTTTACTCAGAGCTGAGAGAGAGAGAGGAGCTTCTCTTTTTTCTTAAACCAGATCCTGGGTTTCCTGTGGCCTTTGGACATATGGCCAGGCGCTTGTTTTCATGGCTGCTTAATGGTTTGTAAAGCAATTGCTGGAGGAAACATTGCTATGGGCAAGCCAGGCCAGAGGGACAGGACTCGTGAGCCAATGTTATCTTTGCTGGGCACTGGGGCTATTCCTGTTCCTTTTCTGTCTCCATCCGGCAGTGACAGATGGCCTCCACATGGTTTGGCCTACTGTTTGGCCAGACCTGATCAGATAGTCATCAATCAGCTGCCCCATTTGGCCCCCCAGAGGGCACCCTGTGGTTCATGGGAGGCAGAAGTTGGAGGTTTCCTTTAGAGCTCATCACATCTCATAGCTATTGTAGTATAGTTTCAAGCATGGACAGTTCTTATTCCAGATGTTACTATCCCAGTGTCCATATGTTTCGAGGTGGGATCAGCAGGTTTACATGGTAATGTTAAACTAATTAATCATAAACTAATGATTTAACAGCTTTAGGACCCAAAGTGAGTTTTGTACTGGCAAATATATAAGTAATACATATGGTGTTATTAAGCTGGAGAAAGGAGATGAGGCTGAGCTTTTTCCATTGCTTTGACACAATCTATTTTCTTACTGATACTGAATGTTACTCACAAGGTCTCTGAAAACTGTTTTGGAATATCTCCAAATACTATTCCTCATGGCTTTGAGATTGAGGAAATAAAAACTTAAGTTAATATAAGCTGCAGGGCACAAGAAAAAGGGAGCAATAAGCAGAGGGGCCGTGTAGAGAGGAAATCAAGATGCTGGGGCTCTAGTCTCATTCTTCCTCTTTCTTTGAACGTGTCGCTTGACTGATATCACACACATTAGGTAGATATAAGCAATGGCTGGGTTCCTTTTTTTATTTCCTAACTGTAAAATGAGATTGTTGCATGAACTTGGCTTCTAAAAACTTTAAATAAAGTGGTTTTGTATTCTTGTCTTTAGAAAAGCAGTTTTGGTCATTAAAACCTGCTTATTCTACTATATGTAAATTGTACTTTACTAAAAATATATATATTTTTTGCTGAAGTCAAAAGAGATGGGGACATTTGAGTAATTTCAACTTTGATGGAGTGCAACCCAGCTAAATGTATTAAAGATATATTAAAATAATTTTTAAAATTAAAATTAAAAATACCAAATGCCTATAATCCCAGTAGTTTGGGAGGCTGAGAAGACAGGATCGCTTGAGCCCAGGAGTTGGAGTTCAGCCTCAGCAACATAGCTAGACTCCATCTATAAGAAAAAGGAAATTTAAAAAACCAAATCTATTAAAGTTAAAAATACCAATAAACCCCTAGCATTATTTATAGTGGGGAAGAAAGAAACTAGAAACCAACAACCTTTGCACCTCAATAAAAAGAGTGAATTGATAAAAGTAGGAGGTTGAACATAAGTTCCCTAGCTCCATCAGGTGTTTTGACATCTGATATTTTGATTATTAACTTCAGTGGGGAGGGAGAGTCTCCTCTGTATAGTTTTAATAACCCTTTTCTCCCTGATTATTTATATTATATATAAATTATATATATAAAATATATATACCAAAAATTTTTTTAACTTTTCTATACATAAGAGAATAGAGATGAGAAAAAGACCCTAAAGAAAAGTTCCCACCATCATGTATACCTGGTACAAAATAAGTATTCAGGCCAGGCGCAGTGGCTCACACCTGTAATCCCAGCACTTTGGGAAGCCAAGGCAGGCGGATCACTTGAGGTCAGGAGTTCGAGACCAGCCTGGCCAACATGGCAAAACCCCGTCTCTACTAAAAATACAAAAAATTAGCCAGGCATGGTGACATGCGCCTGTAATCGCAGCTACTCAGGAGGCTGAGGCAGGAGAATTGCTTGAACCCAGGAGGTGGAGGTTGCAATGAGCCAAGATTGTGCTACTACACTCCAGCCTGGGCAACAGAGTGAGACTCCATCTCAATAATAATAATAATAATAATAAGCACTCAATAACTGGTAGTATTTGGGTGTGCTTCCCTCGTATGTATAACGTTTTCTCAGTCGAGGCAATACTGTTTATATTTTGTATTAGCTTTTTCATTGAGCATTTGATTTTCATTTGACCTGAGTGATTTTGCTGAGTACCGTGGCTCTCAGCTGGTTGTTTGCATGGCCTCCCTCCCTTGACTTTTTGATTTGGAAAGTCAAGGTCTCAAGAGCTTGTCGAGAGGACAGGGCCCCTTTAGGGAAAGTGTCCCCGAAGTGGTGGTTATACCTTGCCTCCTGTGATGATCTGACAGGTGATCACACCTTTCATGTTCATAGTAATGATTAAAAAGCTGTAGCCCCATTAACTGGAAAGGAATTGAGATCCCTGTGCTCAGGACTTGTTCTTTGCAGAGATGAAACAGCTCTTTGATGGGCTTCCTCTGCCTCTCTCGAGCTGAAGACAAGTCACGTTGCCCATAGACCACAAAGTGAAGAGCCCCAACACCCAGCATGGGGAGGAGGCTTCTCTCACCTTTTGTAATACAGTTTGTGATAAGGAGAAGGATCTGTTTCCTTGTATGAGGACAAGATGGCCCCACTTCTGAGCGCTCTGGATGTGGCTATCACATGCCAAGGTGGTTGAGGCACCCCAAGAAGACTATCTCAAGAGATAAAGACCCTATTTCTCCAACTTAAGGTATGGAAGGACATTGTATTGAAAGAGCATGGCTCAGAAAGCACCTTATTGGCTGATTCTGAATCCTCTGATCTCTCTGGGTCAAGGAAAAACTTATAGACAATTCTGGGCTCCAGACCTTTAACTCCTAGGGAAATAGTGTCTGCAGCAGAGGGTTTGTGGCATGTGGGGCATAGCCTGGTAAGTGGCTAGGGCAGCATTAACAGCTATAGTAGGGAATAGTAGGAAGCTTGTGTTGTGCTCTCTGTGAAAGACAATGAGACTTCGCTTTTTTTGCCTCTTGTTGGAATCATTGATAGATTTTTCTTTTTGTTGTACTTTTTACTAATACTTTGATTTGGTATACACCTAACTTTTAGAGTTAATGTCAATCTCCTGGAACTGAATGAGGGAAAAGATATGACATTCTTTGCACTATTGGTTTTGTGCCAGGCATCTGGCTGGATGCTTTATGTTATCTCATGTAATCCACAGAGAATGTGTCTCATTCAGAGTGGGGGCCTATGACCACAAAAGTGTAAAGTTCACCTCAGCTTTTAGGAGTGAAATGAATGGGATTCAAATAATACCTTCTCTTGGCAATGATCTTCTCTTATAATCAGCCCCTGACACATAACTTAAGGTTACCAAAATGATAACTTGCATAAATGATTATTTCTAGAATAAGCAGTATTTCTTTCAGTATACCACATAAGAAATCACAAAGAGAAAATTTAGCTAAGGTTTTTAATGGAAAGCTATCATTATCTTGTTTTTGTAGCCGGTAGGCGTAAGCCAGGAATCAGGTTGGAAGTGGGAGCCCTTTTGGCAGGGCTGAAAACTTTGATCAAGATTCTGCCAAGCAGTTCTTTCAGGACAATGACTCTGCTCCATCGATTTCAGTTAATCACAGCATGGGACAAGGCCTCAGAAGAAGGGGCTCTCCATCCTGTGATCTCCAGTTAAGGACTGCAGGATGAAAAAAAGAATTTTGTGGGTAACAAAAGTGAGGGCAGGGTGTCAATATACACGGTTTTTGAGTTATCGAGATTTTGTTGGAATTTAGTTATTTTTCCTGTTTATGACCAAAATGATGGGAGGAAAGGCTTTGGGCGTAGGTAAGATGGGGCAGATAATGCAACGGACCATGCTGCAGGTGCATTGCCTTCTGCAGGGTAGATTGTGTCTATACCTTGGGCTGTGCCATACTTTGGATAATGATAATAATTTAATAACAACAGACTGCATATATAGGGGGGTTTAAATTTAATAAATCAGTTTTGAGGAAAGGATTTAAGAAGATACATATCAAGCTAGAATTATTAGTCAAGTTATTACCTTCTGGCCAGGGAAACTGGTTAGTCTGAGCATCTCAGATGAGGGGAAGGGGCTAAAGAGGAGAGGGAGAGAAGGGCCTCTGGCCCTTGGTCACCTAGAAGCTGAAGGACTCAGGGGTCCATCTCCAGTCTTGGTCCTCACACTACTGGGCAGTGAGCAGAGCCAGCATGAGGTGCTGAGACATGGACAGCAGGCCTGGGCTACATATACCTCTGGAGTAGGCAGCACTATGCTCCTGGTCTCCTGGAACTGACATTACTTACTCAGAAATGGAATGTCTGCGATCATTAGGTCGACTCCCTCACAGATGAGGAAACTGAGGCACAGAGAAGTCAAGTCATATCTTAAGTGAATGCCAGAGCTGGGACCAAAACTCATGACTCTTGATTCCTGGCCCAGTGATTTTAATGCCCTTGACTAATGGGCAGCTCTGCAGATGGAAAGGCATTGAAGGCTGGCAGGGAAGAATGGGAGAGCCAGGCAGATGGAAGAGAGTGGAGGGGGCAGCTGGTAGGAAATGGGAAAGCTGTAAAGAGCCAAAATATCCATTCCTCTTGGCCATGTCCCAAGGACAAACATAACTCCCAAATGTTCCTAATAGGGGCATAAACAGTCACCCAGAAGAACCACACAAATGGATTGACCAAAGGCCATGAAAAGTCGTTTATGCTTAATGAGTAAGCACTCCTATTTATTCAGACTCCTAATCCAGCTCTTTAACCTCATTCTTTCCTTTTAAGTCATTGGAGACCTTCCTTGCCATTACTCCCTTCTCATTTGTTGTGTGGCTGTCGTTGTACCTAGGGACAACTGCAGTTTAGAATCTATCTGCCCATTTCTCTCAGGTTCTGGGGCAAAGGAAAATGAAGGAGAAGATGATGAACTTGAGCGATGTGACTTGCCTGAAGTGTTTCATATTCTGAAAAGGGGCTATAGAGAAGAACAATGAGCAAATTCATAAGTCAACATTGTATTTATCCCTCTATTATGAGGGATACTGCCTCTACTTCTTTTGTGAGGCATAATTATTTGTTAGTTTTAGCAAGACATTTCTCCGCCTGCTGATAAGGAAACAAAAAAAGCATTTACTGTGCTAGTCTAGAATGTGAACTGTAAGCTGTGGTCTTTTTTTGTTTATTTGCTTTTAGTTTTAATCTATGATCACAGGCTTAGAGGTTGAAGGGGACTGTGGAGGACTGCCAGCCTCCCCATCCTTTTTCATGCGGGGAGCCTCTTCCCAACAGCCCTGCCAGTGGTTCAGATCCCTTCCCTCTGAATCCCCACAGGGAGTCGCTTCTACCTCTGTGGAAGCACTTGCTTCATTTTGCCTTAAATTACCGTTATTTGAGGACTTGTCTTAAGTCTCAGCTGTGAGCCCCTGTGGGCAGGGGGTGGATGGGCAGGAATCCTATCTTATTCCTCTTTGATCTCCTACAGCCCCCAACACAGAGCCTGGCCCACTCTCCGTAAATATTTGAATGAGTGACAAGGTGTTAAGAGTCTACAGAGGCAGCCACAGTTGGACACCTCTAATAGCTAGAAAGTTCTTCCTAAAAGTAAGCAGAAATATGCCTCCCTGTGTGCCATGGGAGGGAGGAGGATGTAATAGGCAGTGATGACAAAGGGCTGGGTGTCTATAGGGTATATCTGGGGACAGGGTAGTGCCTTGCTCTTACTGCTTTTCTTGCATTCTATCTGGCCAGAGTATACAAGGCCTTTCTCCAGGACAGGAAAACCCAAAAACCTAGATAGATCTGGGTAAGGTGGCAGGGGCATGGATTCCAGGATTTGAATCCAGTTTGGGAGGACAGCTCTATCAGACACTGTCAATGTCCCACCTATATGGCCTCAGCCTGCCCTGGGGGTCATCTGCAGGTGATTCTCATGCAGACTGACAGCTGCCTGCATTTATCGGCGGTGATCACTCTCTGACCTCAGAAGTGTGCTTGGTCTGTTTGTGGGTTCGGCTGGAAATGCCAGGAACTTACCCCAGGAAGGACCTTCAACCAAAGATCAATGGGACTTAGTGCATCAGTAACCCAGATTCCTCACCCCTCAGTGGGACAGCTCAGAGGTGTGTTTTATACTTTCTCAAAAGGTCTCAATAGGGATTGAACCCCAGTTGCTCATAGAACTTAACACATCCTTTATTCATTTCCCTCCCTTTCACTATGCTTCCTGGGACCATGCCCAAGTAAACTGTCTCTCCCAAATAATTGTCTCAAGGTCTGCTTTGGGGAGAACCCAAAGTAAGACAATGACATGAGCAGGAGATTTGAGGGACTTCCCATGCTATTCTTCCCATAGAAGATAAAACTGTCGAAATCAGTGTGTGCTTTCCCCCTCCCCATTCTTCCTCTCTATTTCTAAGTGCAGAGTGGTTTTTCTGTCAGTTCCATAAATAGAGTTTAATTTTCAGTAGAATTTGTGTCCTAACTCAGAAAACAAGGCTGAGAATGATTCTTACATCTTTGAGGGATAGTTATTTCCCATAACAAGAATCAGTAATGTCCTAGTTCTCTTAGGGAAATGCACTATGTCAGAAAGCTCTCAGGCCAGACTAAAAAGAGAGATGACACATAGGGGTCATTAGACATCAGGATGGATTTGTGTGGAAGTTCTTCACTTAACTTTTTAAACTTCCACAGAGACATTTTAAATTAAGAGAGACCCTACCAACCTGGCCCAGGTTTGGGATGGTGTGCTTAGAGGTCAGGGACAGCTAAGACGAATGCGGACCATGAGGGAAGTGAGAAAGGAAAATAAAGAACCTTCATTAAACCTACTCAGTATTAATGAACTACATCTGAGCTAACAGAACCTAGAGAAAATGCTGTTACTGCAGAACATGTATAATCATTTGAGAAGATTTGTAACAAATAACGAAGGTGTGTGAATAACTTGCCTCCCTGGTCCTCCTTCATGCAGACATTGTGTGATTCGGAAAAGCTCCCTGTGGATGCCACAACCTTACCTGATTGTTTTGACACCTCAGACAACTAATAGGAGATAGCGGTTAAAAATAGCCATAATCACTACTGTCTTATGTTTGTGGAGTTTTTCTTTTGTCTCGTTCCTTCCTGGAGCATTTTTCAGTGACCTAATAGGAAACAGCATACATGTTCATGAATTTTTAATTAGCAAGTAAAGATGGGAATGAATGTAAACAAAACAAGTAAACAAAACACAAGATGACAGGAGACAATGGATCAAGAGAGCCCCTCCTTGATGCCTTTTGGGGTACCCACAGATGCCTTTTGGGGTCAGGTGGGGAAATCTTCCTAAATCAAGCAGAGATAAGAAAGGGCTTCACAGACCTTATTATTAGCATGGAAAAGTGTGTGGGTTCAAATGCTGTCTTTATTTAAACCCTGTTTGATGACCAGTGCCTCAGCTCTTTTGGCAGGGCTGAAGGAGGTAGGAGGAAGGTGGGGACATCTTTGCTAGGTGATAGGAAGATGTGGAATTACTGTGTCTCCTTTGCCCTCTTTGATGAGTACTTCTGCCCTGTTTGTTGTATGTAGATGGCAATAGTGTCCTGGGTACAGCTCTCCCCTGAGCAAGAGAGATGTCTCTGCCTCCTTTAGCTTGTGCCCTCGTCTGAGCCATCACTTCCAAAGAACGCTCTTGAGAGTTATGTGCCATCCCTGGGAATGACTTCATAAGATGGTTGTGAAGATTACATAAAGTAGTCCATGTAAAGTGACTGCATTAAAGTGCATTAATAGTTGGCACAAAATCTATGCTGGTTCCCCACAATGAAAGTTCCCTGCTATCTACTGAAATTGAATTGTAGAAAAAGATTTCCCTTGGGCCAAAAACAAATACACTAGTATGGACTGTACCAGCGTCTCTCAGACTTTTGTTTTGGGCAGCTCCCTTCCCCAAATATGTACCCCACGAAAGTGCTCAGTGGATGTCTTTTGAGCCTGCCCCACTGAGCACTCTCCTTTTCTTTCCAGAATGCCTATGTCAACATCAACCGCATCATGTCCGTGGCTTCCCGCCTCTCTGAGGCCGGTCATTATGCCTCACAACAAATCAAGCAGATCTCCACCCAGCTGGACCAGGAGTGGAAGAGCTTCGCTGCTGCCCTGGATGAACGCAGCACCATCCTCGCCATGTCTGCTGTGTTCCACCAGAAGGCTGAGCAGGTAAGGTGCAGAAACCTGCAGCAGCTGCTGTTGGTAGGAAGGGTTGGGCATGGGCAGGGGAGGGCTGGATGGGAGCACACACACTCTCTATAGGGAGCTCCACCTGTCTTTTTGAAACACTGAAGACCCTGCCGAGTCATTGCAACAATAACCTATGTTCTACCACTTTGATGGCCCCTGTGTGCACAAAGAAACATTGGTAACTCTTGGTGACTTTGCTTGTCATACAAACAAGAGGGGACCCAGAGCCTTTTTACATTTTGCTTGGTAGTGGTTGCATGTGCGTGTGTGCATGTGTGGACTGTCTGCTTAGTGTGCATTCTTTGAACACAGATCAAAGGGGTGAATGTAAAGTGATCATTGAGGTGCTGAGAGCAGGGGAAACTAATTTTACATGAAGTATTTGCTATGGATAATGGGAATATAACAATAATATAATGGGTCAAGATAATAATTACTCGTACTTACTAAGTGGCCAGGCATTGGCCAGTGACATTGCTAACCCATTTTACAAAGAGGAACACTGAAGCTCAGAGAGATTAAGTGATTGGCCTGCCTAAGATCCCATGATGTGTTGGAGCCTGTCTTGAACCAGCTCATGGAGAGACAGTTGTTAAATTTTTAGGAATTTTGAGAACTGGTTGTCACATTCTAGCTATTGCTTAATTATGTAGGTTTATAATTAAATGTGTTATGTTAAAAGCAAAGTTAATAAATACTCAAAATTCATCACTTCCTGATTATTTTACAACATATTGTTATTACCTATGTTCTTGAAATCATTTTTATGTATTTATTTTTTCTGTGGTGGAAATACCGTACAATTGTGTGCTATGTATGGATCACCTCTTCCCAACTCCATGTTGGTGATGTCACATTGGTAGCTTAAAATACACCATGGTAGGAGTTTCATATTATAGAAATTATCAGATGCTACAAACCAGGGATTGATTTATTGCTTTATTGTTGCCTAGAGTCTTAAGAAAATGAGGGAGAAAGTGTTTGAAAATGCAGACTAAACTTAAAAATGTGTCCTGTGTATAGCTGTTACGTTGTAAATAACACACAAAAATCAAGGAAATATTCTTCCAATATTCAAAAACTGTTATTTGGTTCAGCAAAGAAGTTGCTGACATCCTTGATGAACAAGTGATGTTCTGGCGTAGTATTCAGGTGCTTTTCACCTTTGTCTCACTCCTTAACATAGTGAAAATATCAACCAGCATGTGTGTCAGAACTATACATGTTTGTCAGTTGCAACCATAGGTCAAAAGCATCCTGTGAGAATCAACTGGCTACATTAAATATACAATACAGAGTATTGTATATGCTGTTGTTCTCTGTAAATTGTGTTTTATACATTCTTTATATCAGTAGGATTTGTAAATGAACTTACCTGTGTATATGTAATATATAGTCATATACACACACACATATATATGCTGGTTGTTAAACATTTTCTAACACACCACTGCTAAAATCACACAATCTATGAGTAGATAGGCTATCACCTCAGGTGTGTTTTACACTAGGCCTGTGGTCTTAACTTCTACAATTCTTTCTTTGCATCACATTTGGGTAATATAGGCCAAGGAGAGTCAGACACCTGGTCACACCTTAAATTTCTCCCTCTGTTACCCTCTCTAGTGTGGAAAGCAACATGGCATAATTAAGAGTCTAGACTTTGAGGCAAGACACATGGATTCTGATCCCAGCTCCACCATTCATTCACCCTTAGGCAAGTCACATCACCATTCTGAGCTTGTTTCCTCTTCCGTAATGTGGAGCTAATCATAAATGGCACAGGGCTGTGCTAAAGATACAACACGAGAGATGGAATATGTAAGGTGCCTCGTGTGCTTACTAAACAGTGGACATTACTACTATGGGTATTTGCACCACATACTATCCTGGTATCTTTTTATTTCCTCCATTTGTGTCTATTTCCACCTAAGAACTTCCTAAAGACTGAAATAATACTTGTGTCAAGCACAACCCTATACTTTGAGAGGGATTTGGCCATATCTTTTTGTCGCCGTTGTTAAGGTTGTTGGTGGTAGTGACTGATAGTGACTGGTTCATTCTTAGGGCCATGAGAATATTGCTGTCCAATCTCCTGTTCTGTCTTCAACCTTATCACTTACATACTTTATTCAAGGTTTGCCCAGATTGGTAAGGAAGACCCAACTGCTTCTCTCTTTGTCTCTCTGGCATTATCTCCTTGAGGTGATCGTTTTGTGGGATATGCTACAGGCCACCTGTTAGAATATTGCAGAGAAATCCCATGAGCCTTGAAGGAGTGTTCCCCCCATGATTGACACAAGAATGTCAAGTTGCTCCCAGGGTCATTTGTAAAGTAGTTATTGGTGGAGCAAAGAAGCTTCTGAGATCTTAGCATGTACATATTATATGATCTGATACTCGATGGCACCTGGCACTCTTCCAGAATTGCTTAGAAATGGTCTAGTGTGTTACAAAATGTACAGAATGAAGTCAACCACAACAATCAACAGGCCAGGGACTGAAAGCTGACAGTGACAACAAAACTAGAACGCAAACGGTTGCTGTACCAGAACTGAGAAAACTGGAGAAGTGCACGTTTATTTCATGTTTCCTGACTGGACTGGTTTGGATCAGAAGCGATTTTATTTGTATCTATTTTTTAATGCAATTTCTGCAGGTATTACTAGTCCTTCAGGGACATTCATAAACCATGCTTCTTTTTAACTGGGGAAAAACATGACTCAAAGTTATTTTTTCCATGTATTTATTTAGGCAGCTCTTTATTGTCCTCATATGGGCTGTTCTTGGCAATGGGATAAAGAGGTCTTTAGGCAATTAATTTAAATGGAGCTGTGCATCCAGACGAGAGGAATCACAGACAGAACGATTCCAGACTGTTGGGTGAATTATTTGCATTTTAAAGGTGCATTTTTCCACCCAATAAATCTGAGTGATTTCAGTTAGCTTACCCTTTGTGCGTGAAGACCCATAGTCTTCCACAGTTGTTAATTTTAATTTTTAAATAATTTGATGTCTGTCAAGATCTATGTCTATATATCACAACCTGGGATGCAGTAGGTGTAGCACAGCCTGTCCCCCTAGACTGCCTCTCTCGTTTCCACCCTTCAGGGGACTGACCCAACAGTGGGAGACCTGTTGAGGGCAGTTTCCGTCCCATATGGGATGGTCTCTGCAAGTTTCCTGGGGTTCCTGGTGGTCTGTGTGAGGTGTTTTTTGCTTGTCTTCACAACTGGATGTACATACTGTAAAGCACAGATGTGGAACATCTCCTTACATTACACACAGCCCCTCACGTGTGCCTGTGAGTGTGCGTGGGGCAAGAAGCTCTAATGTATCCGTGGAATGTGGTGAGCTGTTTCCATACCTGGACATTACAGTTAGTGTGTATCTATAACCTATTGAACATCTGATGATTCACCTGCCACCTACAGTTTCATAATAGTCAATTTTGTGGAGACTATACTTCCTAAATGGGTGCCTGGGTCTGATTTCTTACTAGGAGTTAGTGTTCATAGAATTAAAAAAACTCTACCCTCTACAGTGGTCTCTGAAGGCTTTCAGAAGTCCTGATGTTTCTTCCCAAGGTATCTGACCCTCTCTCCATAATCCACCCAACTCCTCACCCCCAGTGCTCCCCCACTGATCCACCCTGCATCTCCTTCCAGTTCCTGTCGGGAGTGGATGCCTGGTGCAAGATGTGCAGTGAAGGTGGTCTGCCATCCGAGATGCAAGACCTAGAGCTGGCAATCCACCACCACCAGACCTTGTATGAGCAGGTGACCCAAGCCTACACAGAGGTGAGAATGGAGCAGGGCAACCATGGTTCTTGGGCATGTCTGCATGTGGGTGGGTGATGAGGGCACTGGCCTGTGCCCTGTGAAATAGCCTGGGTGGGACTAAGAAGAAGAGGCTGTTTTTCTTTTTTTTTGGTGACATCTTTAGGAACCTTGATCTATGAACTATGGTGTCTCCAGCCAGGAAGCAGAAAAAATTGGGGCCATTATTAGGCACCACTTTGGTGCACTCGCATTCATTCTCTCTCTCTCTCTCTCACACACACACACACACACACACACACACACACACACACACCCCATACACCTGCCTCATCCTGTGTGTGAAGATTGGACTTTCTCCTCTTGGGGGAGGAATATAAGAAAATGAAGCTGTGCTTCTCTGGAGGTTGCTTTCTGGTTGGTGAGTGGAGATGTACACACTAGCCCTGCCACCTTTTTTATGAAGCAGCTCATTAAAAAAAGATTAATTTTCTCACTAGACGATCCAGAGGAAAACACACAGGGTGGAGATAAGTGTTTGCAGGAGTAAGAAGCTTCCATGAATGTGAAGGACAAAGACTCTTCCATTGAAAAATCAAAGGCAGGGGGTTACTGTAAAGTTAAGAAAGGGAAAAAACCTCTTGACAGTCCTCTCAAAGTAAAAGGAAACAGCTACATAGGTATATCTGTGTAGATACACATAAGTTAGTATGTTTGCTAACTGGCATGAATTCTGAGGAAGGGGACTGAGGGATGGAGAGAGATGGGCTGATTAAGGAAGCTGGATGAGGAGAAGAAGTGAATTCACATCCAACCCATGTGTTTCCTCTGGGCAGGATTAGTTAGAGGAGTATTAAAATGGGTTCCTGGACCACCTGCATCGGACTCACCTGATACAGATTCCTGGGTCCCACCCCAGACTGAATCAGAATATCAAGAAGTGAGACCTGGAACCTACATTTTAATAACTATTACCCTAGGTGAGTTTGATGCACATTGAAGTCTAAGAACCAATGGCTCCTAGGTAAGAGTAAGGGTTTTTGCCACAGTCAAACTGAGTTTGAATCCTGGCTCTCCTATTTACTAGCTGTGTGACCTCAGGCAAGTTACTTAACCACTTTGAGCCTGGTTTCATCTGTGAAATCAAAGTAGTAACACCTGTCTCATAGGATAGTGTTGAGGTTATAAAGGTAATGCATGACAATTCACAATTGCAAAAATATGGAACCAGCCTAAATGTCTATCAACCAATGAATGGATAAAGAAAATGTGGTATAAATACACCATGGAATACTACTCAGCCATAAAAAGGAACAAAATAATGGCATTCACAGCAATCTGGATGGAGTTGGAGACCATTATTCTAAGTGAAGTAACTCAGGAATGGAAAACCAAGTATGGCATATTCTCACTTTTAAGTGGGAGCTAACCAAACACCACCTGTTCCCCAAAACTATTTAAATAAATAAATCAATCATTGTACCCAACAAAAATTTAAAAAAATAAAATGAAGGTAATGTATGTAATGCACTTGGCCCAGTGTCTGACAGTAATGAATACTAAAAAATGGTAATGTATTCTGTCATTGTAGAAGGTACAACGAAGGACTTACAAGCCAAATCTGATCTCATCAGCTCTGATCCATATGGCTCAAAGCTTTCTGTCTTAGAACTGTGCCTCTGCCCATGGGTCAAGAATCTTTAAATTTACTCCTTGCAAAATACAAATATAGAGAGTACAAATGAGATTAATATTATACTTCCACATATGTGAGGTGTGGGTGTAATTATACATATAGACACAATATTTCTCTCAATTAATTATCAGGCCCTAGCGTTGTGAGGCTTAAACCTTCCCTCCAAGCCCACTTCAGAGGCCAGTGAGCTGTCCATGCTTCCTACAGATGTAGAGACTGAGGCAGAGGATTAGAGCTCATGTGGGGTGGATTTCTAGGACTTGGGACTCCATCTCTAACTGCCCTACCCTGGACATAGCATGGTGCCAAAAGACAGCATTTGCTCAGAATTCCAGAAAGAGAGCTCTCCTGGGTTTCACTATAGGATATTTGTCTTATTTATGTCTCTGGTGGGCATCACCTCTGCATTATGTATAAGCTACTTCCCCCACCCCACTCCCCTGGCAGTCAATTATGGGAGATGGGGATGGCAGGATTGGGTGGGTGGTGGTGATTTCCTCTCCTGGCCTCTGCTGCACTCTACCGCAGCACCCCTCCTAACCACCCTGCCCTGAAAGCATTTCTGTGGCCCCATGGGCAGGAGTAACATCTGCTTCTGTATTCCTGGACCCCCATCCAAGCTATTATCAGGGACCAAAGGAGGGGTGAGGGGAGGATGCAAACCCGGCAAACAGCTTCATCATCAGAGGTGTGGAGATGGAAGCACACACACCTCATTCCCTACCTTGCTGGTGAGATAAAAGACCATTTTCATCTCCAAAAGCCTTCTTTTGGGGAAGGCTCCAAGCCAGCTTTGATTTAGTTGGTAACCAAATTTGGGGACTCAACATTTCTATCAATTCCCAGTCATCCCTGTTTTAAATTGGAAAGATGCATGTTCTGTTGGGTACTTTGTCAAGCACAGGAGGGCCATAGGTGTTGATTGTATGTGTCATTTTCCAGAATTATTGATGCCCGTGATTGTGCCAGAACTCCAATGAGAAGAATGGCAGAGAGTGTCATCCCACTTTTCTCAGACTGTGGGCGAGTGTTGGGGAACCGAGGAAAGTGGATGGTGTGTCCACTGTCTAAGTGTCCCAGCCTTTCTCTGCATGTTCTAGAAAAATGAGGATTGTACTGCTTTTCAGGAGAAAGAAAGGGCTCGTATAGAGCGAGAGCAAAGTATTTTAAAAGGATAA
The DNA here is from genome assembly GCF_000001405.40 of Homo sapiens. Taxonomy (NCBI): domain Eukaryota; kingdom Metazoa; phylum Chordata; class Mammalia; order Primates; family Hominidae; genus Homo; species Homo sapiens. The sequence goes on from NC_000003.12 coordinate 124,332,846, forward strand.
AGACGAAAGAAAATGACAAGGAAATAAAGAGGATGGGAGAGAGATGATGATGATGATGGTTGTATTAGTCTGTTCTCATGCCGCTAATAAAGACATACCTGAGACTGGGTAATTTATAAAAAAAGAAAAAAAAGAGGTTTGATGCACTCACAGTTTCACATGGCCATGGAGGCCTCACAATCATGGCAGAAAGAGGAGGAGGAGCAAAGTCATGTCTTACATGGTGGCAGTCAAGAGAGTGAGTGCAGGGGAACTGCCCTTTTATAAAACTATCAGATCTCATGAGATTTATTCACTAACATGAGAACAGCACTGGAAAAACCCACCCGCATGATTCAGTTACCTCCCACCAGGTCCCTCCCACAACACGTGGTGATTATGGGAACTACAATTCAAGATGAGATTTAAATGGGGACACAGACAAACCATATCAATGGTGATGATGATGAAGATAAAATTGGTAGCCAGTATCACTTGTCAGGCTCTATTCTAAATACGGTATGTGTGTTAACTCATTTAATCCTCACCATGACTTTATGAAATATGTACATAAATATCCCTCCTTTACAGACAAGGAAACTGAGGACCCAGGAGGTTAAATAACTTGCCTCTTGTCACACATCTAGAATTTTAGAGCCAAATAGAGGAATTTGGGAAAGAAAGAGGAGGAGAGGATTATGGTGGGAACTTACATTGACTTCATTTCTGAAATGAAGTTATGCTGTCTGACCTGGTGTGAGTCAGTTAAAATGTTTACCAAGCCTGGGCACTGTGGCTCACACCTGTAATCCAAGCACTTTGGGAGGCTGAGGTGGGCGGATCACCTGAGGTTAGGAGTTCAAGACCAGCCTGGCCAACATGGTGAAACCCCGTCTCTACTAAAAATACAGAAATTAGCCAGGTGTGGTGGCAGGCACCTGTAATCCCAGCTACTCAGGAGGCTGAGGCAGGAGAATCGCTTGAACCCGGGAGGCAGAGGTTGCAGTGAGCCGAGATCGCACCATTGATTGCACTCCAGCCTGGGGACAAGAGTAAGACTTTGTCTCAAAAACAAACAAACAAACAAAAATTTACCAAATGCCTACTGTGTGCCAGGCACTGTTTTGGGCATTGGGGCGAGAGCAGCAAGTAGGCAGTATCTCTGCCCTCACAGTGCTGAAATTCAGGAGGGGAGAGAGTCTCACAGACAACTGGCCAGCACTCCAGCAACTCCCACATCAGGGGATTCCAGCTGCTCTGCCCTCCACCAGGCCGGAGGATGGGCCCCATGGCAGCTCTGGCTGGCTAGGTGTCTGGGTATGGAATGCCTGAGATTCTCAGAAGGCCTAGTCAGGGACCCTCAGGCAGACACTTCCTGCTTCTCTCTGTGCCCTGCCTATCACCCTTTTCCCTTAACTTAAACTTCTCTCTTTCCTGCAGGTCAGCCAGGATGGCAAAGCACTACTTGATGTGCTGCAGCGGCCCCTGAGCCCTGGGAACTCCGAATCCCTCACGGCCACAGCCAACTACTCCAAGGCAGTGCACCAGGTGCTGGACGTGGTGCATGAGGTGTTACATCACCAGCGACGGCTGGAGAGCATCTGGCAGCACCGCAAGGTGCGGCTCCACCAGCGGCTGCAGCTCTGCGTCTTCCAGCAGGATGTACAGCAGGTAACAGGCTCTGAGCCCCGGTGTCCATTATCCATTCTAGGAGGCAGACCGAGCTCAAGTCCCTGACCTAGGTGATCAGGCTTAGGAGAGCCCAGATTTATAGAAGGACATAATGAAATTCAGCTCTCAACTGCTCCACAGAACCCTACCAAAACACAGAACAAAAACTGGACCTGTGAATTGCATATTTCTTGCCTAAGTGACTGTATAGACTGGCCTTCTCACCACGTGGTATTGTAAAGGGAGACTCAGTCTCAGGAACTGCAATTCCTCGTAGTCATGTGGCACATTTTTCTTTTGTTTTGTTTTGTTTTTTGGAAACAGAGTCTCGCTCTGCCGCCTGGGCTGGAGTATAGTGGTGTGATCTTGGCTCACTGCAACCTCCGCTTTCTGGGTTCAAGCGATTCTTGTTCCTCAGCCTCCCAAGTAGCTGGGATTAACCGCATGTGCCATCACACCCAGCTAATTTTTGTATTTTTGGTGGAGACGGGGTTTCACCATGTTGACCAGGCTGGTCTTGAACTCCTGACTTCAGGTGACCCGCCCGCCTCGGCCTCCCAAAGTGTCAATATGGGTTAGGATTAGGGCCAATATGGCACATTTTTCTTTTGGTGAGCTTGACCCACACTCAGGCAATGATTGCTAGACAGCTTGGGGGTGGGGGGTTATCCAAGCACTGTCAGGCTTGGACTCCACATACGGTCCATCTGGGATGCACGTGGCCTGCCAGAGTGAAGGTGAAGTGGAGTACAGGAAACTTCAGAGGATTCCTTGACAAGGTTGGACCAGGAAAATCAGATTTAAAACCTGGGCTGTTGTTCAGTGTATGTTTCATGATTACAGGTTATTCCTGACTTTATGTAGTTTCTTTTTTTTTGTATTATGACATCAGTTGTTGCTTTTTCCTTTACCACTAATAATAAAGAAATGGTTATGTTTCTGACCACAAAAGGACAATCTTGCTACAAATGCCCTTTCAGATGAAATAACCCATTCTTTTCTCCTTGTACTTTCTCTGTTTCTGTCTTCCAGAGGACCCTGGGATCTTTGCTGGAGGACTAATATACTAGTGTGGGGGGAGCTGGCTGGGAGATGGGGACTGAGATCCAGGCTCACTGTCATCTGCCTCTTAGTTCACCATAGGAAAACTAAGGATGGGCTTAGTTGTCCTAGGATGGGCTCTGCAGAGCTGCAGAGAAGCTGCTCGGGTGGACGCACTCGTGTTCAAACACCTGTTTGACTTTTCTGTGGCTACCGTGTAACTCCAGGATTATACATATAAAATAACAATTCACTCTCCTTTCATTCTTTTGTGGTATCAACCAGGTATAATCCAAGTATAATCTAATTTATCTACTGTATTATATAATACAATGTAATCCATTGTATATTTCCAGTGTAGTGAAATACACATGGAAAATTGAGAGCCAACTGTACATGTCTTTGGGATATCTGTTCCCTTCACAGGTGTCATTAGAGGGGCCTCTGATGCTGGGTGCCTGAAGTGGTCAGGCAGAGTGGAGGGAGAGTTGAGCATTCTTATCACTGACTGTGACACTCTCTGAATAGGGGGATAGTCACTGTGCAATCAGTCCCAGGAACAGATGGGCCTTCGAGCATGCCCCCACTTCTTGGGCTGTCATAACTCCCCTTGAAGAGTCCTCTTCTGACTGGAGCATCAGTTGAGTTATCAGAGGCAACACCTCAGTCCCAGGAGAAATGGGCACTACTGATGTGCTGGCTGCAGTTCTGAAGCCCTTGTGGGGCCTGCCGGGAGTGGAGAAGCAAGTGAATCAGTTGCCTACTCCTGCCATCTGGAGCTATCCTGATAAATATATCACTCCTGAGCACAGGAGAGCACAGGAGGCAGTCTATGATTGAGACAGAGTGAGGTACCAGCCTCTGAAGGCACAAAGGAGAGGCGTTGCTATTTCAGTGAACTCTCCATTACTCTCAGAGATGATCTGGGCCGTGAATTGTGCAATATCCATGGTGTCCTCTTTACCCTCATGCTGATTTTATAGCTGTTGTCCTGGAGAGCTGCAGAGGGGCTGCAAGGAGGGTGTGTGAAAGGCCTCCCCAAGGGGAGGGTGGCATTCCAGACTCCAACTATCAGGGAACTGCTGTAATCTGACTTTTCTGTGGCTACTCTAAACTAAAGCTAAGAAAAAGTATAAAACCACACCTGTGGTTGTTCTGCATCATGCTTTCAAAAATGAGAGCCTTTCTGAAATTAAGACCCTGTCAGTTCATCACTTTCTTGTTTGTAAATCCATGAGCATGAAATCTTTTTCCATTTATTTGTGTCCTTTTATTTCCTTCTGCAGTGGTTTGTAGTTCTCCTTGAAGAGGTCCTTCACATCCCTTGTAGTTGTATACGTAGGTATTTTATTCTCTTTGTAGCAATTGTGAGTGGGAGTTCACTCATGATTTGGCTCTCTATTATTGGTTTACAGGAATGCTTGTGATTTTTGCACATTCCAGAATTGTGCAAAAAATCAATTGCATTGATTTTGTATCTTGAGACTTTGCTGGAGTTGCTTATCAGCTTAAGATTTTGGGCCGAGACGATGGGGTTTTCTAAATGTATAATCATGTCATCTGCAAACAAAGACAATTTGACTTCCTCTGTTCCTATTTGAATACCCTTTATTTCTTTCTCTTGCCTGATTGCCCTGGCCAGAACTTCCAATACTATGTTGAATAGGAGTGGTGAGAGAGGGCATCTTTGTCTTGTGCCGATTTTCAACGGAAATGCTTCTAGCTTTTGCCCAGTCAGTATGATATTGGCTGTGGGTTTGTCATAAATAGCTTTTATTATTTTGAGATACCTAGTTTATTGAGAGTTTTAGCATGAAGGGGTGTTGAATTTTATCAAAGGCCTTTTCTGCCTCTATTGAGATATCATGTGGTTTTTGTCATTGATTCTGTTTATGTGATGGATTATGTTTATTGATTTGCGTATGTTGAACCAGCCTTGCATCCCAGGGATGGAGCTGACTTGATCATGGTGGATAAGCTTTTGGATGTGCTGCTGGATTCATTTGGCCAGTATTTTATTGAGGATTTTTGCGTCAATGTTCATCAGGGATATTGGCCTGAGATTTTCTTTTTTTGTTGTGTCTCCGACAGGGTTTGGTATCAGGATGATGCTGGCCTTATAAAATGAGTTAGGGAGGAGTCCCTCTTCTTCTATTGTTTGGAATAGTTTCAGAAGGAATGATACCAGCTCCTCTTTGTATCTCTGTTAGAATTCGGCTGTGAATCCATCTGGTCCTGGACGTTTTTTTGTTGGTAGACTATTAATTACTGCCTCAATTTCAGAACTTGTTATTGGTCTATTCAGGGATTCAACTTCTTTAGTCTTGGGAGGATGTATGTGCCCAGGAATTTATCCATTTCTTCTAGATTTTCTAGTTTATTTGCGTAGAGGTATTTATAGTATTCTCTGATAATAGTTTATATTTCTGTGGGATCAGTGGTGGTATCCCCTTTATCATTTTTTATTGTGTCTATTTGATTCTTCTCTCTTTTTTTCTTTATTAGTCTGGCTAGTGATCTATCTATTTTGTTAATCTTTTCGAAAATCAGCTCCTGGATTCACTGATTTTTTGAAGGGTTTTTCATGTCTCAATCCCCTTCAGTTCTTCTCTGATCTTAGTTATTTCTTGTCTTCTGCTAGCTTTTGAATTTGTTTGCTCTTGCTTCTCTAGTTCTTTTAATTGTGATGTTACAGTGTCAATTTTAGATCTTTCCCGCTTTCTCCTGTGGGCATTTAGTGCTATAAATTTCCATCTGAACACTGCTTTAGCTGTGTCCCAGAGATTCTGGTACGTTGTGTCTTTGTTCTCATTGGTGTCAAAGAACTTCTTTATTTCTGCCTTAATTTCATTATTTACCCAGTAGTCATTCAGGAGCAGGTTGCTCAGTTCCCATGTAGTTGTGTGGTTTTGAGTGAGCTTCTTAATCCTGAGTTCTAATTTGATTGGACTGTTGTCTGAGAGACTGCTTGTTATTATTTCCGTTCTTTTGCATTTGCTGAGGAGTGTTTTACTTCCAATTATGTGGTCAATTTTAGAATAAGTGCGATGTGGTCCTGAGAAGAATGTATATTCTGTTGATTTGGGGTGGAGAGATCTGTAGATGTCTATTAGGTCCGCTTGGTCCAGAGCTGAGTTCAAGTCATGGATATCCTTGTTAATTTTCTGTCTTGTTGATCTGTCTAATATTTATAGTGGGGTGTTAAAGTCTCCCACTATTATTGTGTGGGAGTCTCTCTTTGTAGGTCCCTGCGAACTTGCTTTATGAATCTGGGTGCTCCTGTATTGGATGCAAGGAAACCCAAAATGGAAAAAAAATCACTAAAAATTATTTTCCATTTGTTACAGAAAATGAGGGAGGCATCACATGTGAATATGTAACTATATTTTTCAAAGTGTGATACTTGGACCCCTGCATTAAAATCATCTGGGCAGAGTGGAGGGCTTTTTAAAAACAGATTATCAGGCCGTGTTCTACATTTCTTGATTCAGAATTTGGGAATGAGGTGGAGCCTATAATTTAAAAAGAACCCCAGGTGATTCTTAAGCATTCTGAAGTTCAAAACTGTTGGCAAGAGTTTGAAGCCTTAGTGTTAAAAAGTATAGTGCCTCCAGAAACAGACAGCAAGGTACCAGGCAGAGGAGGTTCTCTCAGAGAGGTGGGAGGACCCAGCCTCCGCTCTGCTGGGAGGGGACGGGTGCAGGTGGGCTGGGGCTGGAGAGGCCCAGGGTTAGGGGCAGCTGAGACTTTGGGTCTCTGGACCCTCAGCTGGCTTCCACCCAACTTTGGGTCTGCCAGGTGACAGGATTGCAGCTCTCAGTGGAAGCACAGTCCGTACACCTGCTAATGAGTTTCTGCTGAGCCCTCTCAGAAGAATGATGGCTTCTCCTGCCATAGCAAGACATTTATTTTGATCATATTTGTTCCAAAGAGGGGACGCAAAATGAGTTGCTGGTAATTGGGCATTTCAAGTGGTGCCTGCATGCTCTCCAGTTGCAGCCGATGGGGAGCTGGGTGGTACAGGCAGCCTAGGAGCTGCTCCCCTTCAGAACTAGTGCTCAGTGTGCTGTGTGAGGAGACAGAAATAATGATGTGGCAGACTCTCCTGAGTGCTCTTCACACTGTGTGTACTTGAACCTTTAACAGAACAAAATGTCTTGTAGATGCCTGATGGCATATAGATGATCCTTAATTTACATCAGAATAATGGCTTTCTAAATGTAGGGGGCTGAGGGCTGAGAGGTAGGAATTAAGAGAGGATAATTCTTTAGTTTACCTAAAACATCAAGCATCTTCTTGTTTTACCCCGTGGATCAAATTATGACACAAGCTGAATAACCTATTTCAAATAAGATGACTTATCAGAGAGAACCAGGTGAGGAATCAGAGAGGTGAGATTCTGATTCCACATATGGTTGCAAAACGTCTCCATTTCTTTTCATGGGTTTTGTTCTTCCCACTCAGGAAGTTTTCAAATTATATGTGTTATTCACTTACCCATTTATTCAGCAAATACTCTGAGAAGAACACAGCAGCAAATCAAATGAACCCCCTGTTTACATAGAGCTTACAGTCAGGGGGTGGAAATAAAACAACACCCAAACCAAGCAAATATGCCGTGTGTCATATGGCGATAGCTGGTGATGAGTGAGTGGAGAGCTGAATGAATGAGCAATAAGGATGTGTTTAAGAAGAGGTTCTGGGACTGGGCACTGTGGTTCATGCCTGTAATACTAGCACTTTGGGAGGCTGAGGTGAGCGGATTGCCTGATCTCAGGAATTCAAGACCAGCCTGGGCAACATGGTAAAACCCTGTCTCTACTAAAACACAATAAAACTAGCTGGGTATTGTGGTGTGTGCCTGTGGTCCTAGCTATTCAGGAGGCTAAGGCATGAGAATCACTTGAACCCAGTAGGTGGAGGTTGCAGTGAGCCAAGACTGTGCCATTACACTCCAGCCTGGGTGACAGAGTGAGACTCTGTCTCCAAAAAAAGAAGAAGAAGAAGAGGTTCTGACACATGGAATGGTACTTACAAAGTCCTTAAGACCAGAGTGGTTTCCCATGAGCTCAGATGCGTTCATGGCCACTATACAGAGATTGTTTGTTAATAATTCTCTTCAAAAGAACATTTTCCAGCTGGGCGTGGTGGCTCACACCTGTAATCCCAGCACTTTGGGAGGCAAAGGCAGGTAGATTAGCTGAGGTCAGGAGTTCAAGACCAGCCTGGCCAACATGGCAAAACCCCGTCTCTACTAAAAATACAAAACATTACCCAGGCATGGTGATGCGTACCTATAATCCCAGCTACTCAGGAGGCTGAGGCAGGAGAATCGCTTGAACCTGGGAGGCAGAGGCTGCAGTGAGCCAAGATCACGCTACTGCACTCCAGCTTGGGCAACAGAGAGAGACTTCATTTCAAAAAAAAGAAAAAGAAAAAAGAAAAGAACATTTTCCCTTCTCCTTGGCAGTTAGAAAAGACTGTCTCCTGTGCTGAAAGGCATTGCATCTTGATTGTATGCTGGTTGGAATAAACACAATTAGATGAGGAAGAAAGGGGGTGATTAGGGAATTATGCATAATGGCTGTTAAGTTAACTTTCAAATCTAGTCAAGGATGTGAGCATCTCTTTTGGAAAAGACTGTTCTTGGAAAAGACTACTTTCTGGTTGAAAAGTCAAGACGAGAAACCAAGAAGATCTTTACAAGTTGTTACAAGACTGCCTGCCTGCTGTAGTGGCAAGGAGCCTGGGCTCACCTGCGTTGTTATCCCTAGTGATGACATTCCTGAATGGGGTGGCAAAATTCCTCTCAAGACGAGCAGGGCAGGGACCTTGGCCACATATGCACGTGGCAATTCATGGCTATAAACAGTCATTGTGTATCTTCCAAGTGCAAGATGCAGGCAAGGATGCTGTGTGATAGAGGAGAGGGAAGGGTAGCATACAAATGGTGAAAAACCCATACTCTTTACATCCCTCTAAGAACTAACTACCTGCCAAGTGGGGCAGTGGGGAAGGTGGAGATGCACAAAGAGAGAACTTTGAGTGTAGACTGAGATAGAGTTACAGTGGGAGTGTAGAGCAGGAGATGTTCACTCCAAAGTTCTGCATTAGAGGGGTCAGTTTGAGCTCAGTTCAATTAAACATGTATTAAGCAACTACTCTGTGCTGAGTACCACACTCTGTCCTGGGAGTACAAAGAGGTTGGAGTCTAGTGTGAGAGACAGGCCTGTGGGCAATAATTGTAGTTTCAACAGAATAAGAGAAACACCCACTCCAGCCTGAATGGGTTATTAACGAGTTAAGGCTTTCCATAGCCAATGATTTTGAGGCAGAGCTTAAAGGATAAGTAGGAGGTAGCCTGGAAAGTGGGTACACGAGAGGAAAGGATATGGAAAGTGAAGGGAAAAACAGAGCAAAATTTAGGAGATGAGAGGCAGCTTTTAGGGTGTTGGGGGGTGAGGCAGGAACTCACTAGGGGTGGGGTTAAGAGGGGGTAGGGCCAGGTATAGGGGACTTAGTGTCAAGGTAAGGGGCTGCTCAAAAATTATACCCTGGTGAAAAGCCCTTTTGAGAATTCGTGGGTTAATTTCATTTAAGTCTGAGGGTATGCCTTTATTTATTTATTTATTTATTTATTTTTGTATAAATATACGGAGTCCAAGTATAATTTTGTTATATACGTAGATTGCGTAGTGGTAAAGTCAGAGCTTTTAGGATATCCATCACCCAAATAACATATATTGTACTCATTAAGTAATTTCTCATCACCCAGCCCCTTCTCCCTTTCCGGTGTCCATTGTCTAGCACTCCACACTCTGCATCCATGTGTATGCATTATTTATCTTCCACATATAAGTGAGAACATGTGATATTTGTCTTTCTGTACTTGACTTGTTTTACTCAAGATCATGGCCTCCAGTTCCATCCATGTTGCTGCAGAAGACATGATTTCATTCTTTTTTATGGCTGAATAGTATTCCATTGTTGATATATACCACATTTTCTTTATCCAGTCATCCATTGATGGGCACTTAGGTTGAAGTTATATTTTTAAAATGGATTTGGTATTCCGTTTTATTATTGGGATTCAGCTAGATTAACAATTTATAATTTATTTTTAAGCCTTAGTGTATAAATTACTTCTTTGAAACTAAAGGCACATCTTTCCCAGAATCTGACTGACAACCATTATTGAGTACTATTTCCCATTCCAGTTCAGGGGCACAAATCACTGTCACTTATGCCCCTGAGTATACCTTTCCATAGTCATTCTCAGAACAAGAGTATGAGCATGGAAAGGGAAAAAAATCTTAAGGAAAAAAAATATGTTATGTCTGTGCTACCCCTTATAACTCATTCACTCCTGTACCAGTGACTAGTTCTACCTTCCACTCAGTTATTCAAGACATGCCCCTGGGGGCCAGGCTTACCACCTGCCTCTCCATCTCCCCCATAGCCAATTACCAAGTCCTGGCAATTCTTTCCCCCAGCCTGTCTATCTATAGACACTGCCATTGGCCTCGCCTGGGTCACCATCACCTCTTGTCAGAATTTCTGCCTCCTGTTTTCCCTTCTCTACTCTTGCCTTCTCCAGTTTATCCTCCACAAAGCAGTCAGAGCAATATATATACACATATATTTGAGACAAGATCTCACTCTATTGTCCAGGCTGGAATGGTGATATCACAGATCACTTCAGCCTGGAACTCCTAGGCTCAGGGGATCCTCCCTCCTCAGCCTCTTGGGTAGCTGGGACTACAGGTGTGCACCACCACGCCTGGCAATTTTTTTTGTATTTTTTGTAGAGACAGAGTTTTGCCATGTTACAGAGGCTTGTCTCAAATTCCTAGGTTCAAGCAATCCACCTGCCTCTGCCTCCCAAAGGGACAGGATTACAGGCATGAGCCACTGCACCTAGTCAGTCAGAGCAATAATTTATAACTGAAAATGAAAAGTGTCTTTATCCTCCTTGCAGCCCTTCAGTGGCTCTTAGGATGAACAATGGATTCTCCCGTTCAGCACACCAGGGCTCACCACAATCTTGTTCCTGCCTTTTCAGGGTCCATTTCCTACTTATCCCCTATGCAAGCCATGCTGGTCTTTTCAATTCCTAATTTGGTTAAATCCTACTCTCTCTCAGATCTCAGCTAAACCTCACTTCTCCTGAGAAACCTTCCGTGACTCCCCAGAGAAGATGCGTTTGGCTGTTGACACTTTTCACCTTTGCAATGAATGATGAATTGTGTGATTTAGTGTCTAGTGCTTGTTACCCCTATAGACTGAGTTCTCAGCATCAGGCCATGCCTGCCTTGTTTACTGCTACACCCCCACCTCCAGAGCTGCTCTAGTGCCTGACACTGTGGCACAATAAGACTATTAAATAAATGTCCGAATATGTGAATACTTATATACCCACACATGCTTCTCTGCTGCCTGACAAAAACAAAAAGATAAAACCTCCAAAACTGGAAATGCTCAAATACCAATTCAGAGCCATCGATAGGTATGAATGACTATCATGCTGTATATCCTGACTATGATTGGTAATTGAGTATTTTAAATATGCCTTGTAGATGAAGAGAAATTATTCAGGAATAAGATTATAAGGAGTACCTTGATGGGTGCTTGTACTTAGGTAGGGTCCAGGATTTGACTAGAAAGTCAATTTATTCTTTAACCATTGATGTTCAGATTCTGGGACCTTGTTCATCTTAATGGAATGCACTAGAAACTGACAAATATCCAGAATCTCAAGCCACACATAAATTTATAGCGTGTAATGTAATTGTCAGGCACTGCTGATGTCTGCTCAGGAACATGTTTCTCTGCTGCGCAGGATCTGCATGGAAAGTCAGATTGTACTCCCGAGGTTGGACGACATGGAATCAGGGTCCAGACAGTATGTGGTCTAAACACGTGTATCATGCAATGATGGCTCTAAATGAACTGTCTGAAACAAAATAGTCAGAAATTAGAATCTTTAACAATACTTCATATATTAACTATGTTTATCTAGCCTCAAATACTTTTTCAGTCTGGATTACTAAAGTAATTTTGTTAACTCCCTAAATTATTTGCTTTTTGATTTGTTAAATTGATTTCTGCATAGCTCCTGAACTTTCGTCGAAATTGCACATATTTTCCCTACAGCTTCAATTTTAATGGTAGAAATTGGACTAAATGATGGCACCAGAGCATCACAGAGCAATCAAAGTTATGTTAAAGTGAAGTAAAAGCTTCTCAAATATGAAAGAAATAGGTTTTTAAGTGATGAAGGCATAGCCAATTAAGTAAAACTAAGTGTCACTAAAAATAAATTGACATTTTAAAGAAAGCAAAGTAACTTAAAAAGGAAACAAATTGCGTTTAAAAAATATTTAGAAGTTGTGAAATCGTTTCTGGGGAGTGCAAACACTGTATGTGGGTGAACTAGTAGATGAAAAATATTCCTCTTCAACCAATTTGCTTCAGAATAACCAATTTTCTTAAAGCTAGAGATAAAAAATGAGATAAAACAAAACTCATGAAAACATTGCCAGACAAGCAGGCCATACTTAAGTGCTCAAAACTAAATTTAAAAAATTGTAGTCTGAAAAATCTGTTATAAATTCCAACACATTCATAAACGACCACTGGTAGTTCTTTTATATGCAAAAAATTATCATCAAACCTCAATTTGTTTTCAAAAGGGATTGATGAAAGTTTATGCATTAAAATCCTAAAACTTTACTATACTTCGCACCTAATATATGGGAAACTTTGTGACTACAAGTATTTACCTTTGACCTTGCATGCTGAAGCTCATAACTCCTTTACAGTACAGAATTGTGAGATCTAATTGTGGCAAGCCAAGTAAAAATATACTCTCCTGATTTTTTTTGGTTGAAGTTTCACCGTAAGTAATTCTAGAGAAACGCAGGCTCTTCTAAGAGATGAACATGTAAAGTTCCTTTCAGTGCTGCCTTTCAGTGTTTGCAAAAGGTAAAAATCCAGCACTACCACAATTTCTTTTTAGGGTTGTGCCTCCAGAATACTTAAAATATGTATATTGCCAGAATATATTATAAAGTGTTTAAAATCTCCATAATGTTTAGATGAATTCATTTTTTATTTATAAAAAACTTTTTTTCTTCATGATGATGGACAATTACTCCGCCTGTCTTCATTAAGTGGATATTTGTTAAGCCTCATTTTTATATTCATATATACCTTTCTCTGAACTAGCACAATCACGATGTGGGCTTTGTGATCCTGTCACCAAAGACTTTGAAAATGTTCATACCTTGCACACTGCAGATATTAAATATCCCAAATGTCAGAGAACTCCCATACCTGTAGTCAATGGAATGATTTGGTTTTACCTCTGTTTGCTGCAGGGCAATCCGTTTGAGACACAGGAATGAGTTAAACCATCCTTTTAAATAGACCTAGTTCATCTAAACCATTTTCCAGTAAGTGCTTCCAAAATCTGGAAAGGCTAGTACATCATTAATTAAATGTTTAGTTAATGGTTAATATTGCAGGCAGTGAGTGGGCTCACTTGAGTTTTAGCAGGATCTATAACAGGTGTGTCTATACTGTAATTCTGATTTAATTGTGGTCACCTGATTTACTGAGCGCCAACTCTTCAGAGATCAAAAGATGATCTCTGGGATACACACATTTTTGTTAGGCCATCTGCAAGAATGCAAAATGGGTATTAAAGGCTTTCATCCTCCCTGCACGTCAAGGCTTTTACTAAGGGATTTCCATCCTGCCTCTCAAGTGCCCCTCAGGAAAACTTATTTTCCACCCTTCTTAGCATCCCCTCTCTCTCACCCCTCTATTGCCCAGGGGTCTCTGTTCCAGTGTCTCTAAATATCAAGGAAACTGTCTTGAAGCCAAATCACTAGATCTTTAGCCTGGAAGAACCTGAAGTCTCCACTGCTTCCCAAGAGACTCAGATATTAAAGGACTTAGGATGCAAACACTTTAATTTATTTGTTTGTTTGGTTGGTTGGTTGGTATCGATTGGAGGAGGGAGATGGAAAGAAGCCAGAGGGGGCTCTTGTCCTAGTGGTCAGATATCATGAGCATCCAACTGGAGACTGACTACCCTGGACTTTGCTTTCAAGATTAGGAAGGGGAGTCCCCGGAGCACAATGAGGCAGGATCCCCATGACTGGTCACCATTGCTGTTTGTGTTCTTATGGCAGCGTGACGGATGAGTAATGAGGGCCAAGATACTGCCCAAACTGCTACTACCTAATTTCCTGCCAATATCTTTATGTGATTGGGTAGAAGTGGTGAGGGGGTTAAACTGTGCCTGATGGTCTGTGTAACTTGTTTAAAATAATGAACTAAGAAAATGGAAAAAGTAATGGAAGGATAATATGGAGATCAAAAAGGATAAGTTGAATTTAGGTAAAGGTGGGACTATGATATTGCCAATGACAGTAATGAAATCCCATGGACTCACAGCAGATTGACCATTTCCACCTGAACTGCTGCTTTACAACTGGGATGGGATATAGGGGTGGTTAGGACTCTAGCAGTTGCACATGTTGTCACATGTCTTTCCTTCTGCTAGAAAGTCATTGTTGCTGTTATCCTTCTTTGACCAGGTGTTGGACTGGATTGAAAACCATGGTGAGGCCTTTCTCAGCAAACACACTGGAGTTGGGAAGTCCCTACATCGAGCCCGGGCCCTGCAGAAGAGGCATGATGACTTTGAAGAGGTGGCTCAGGTGAGAAGCTGTGTGTGTGTGTGTGTGTGTGTGTGTGTGTGTGTGTGTGTGTGTGTCTAGATGAGGGAGGCATGATGACTTTGAAGAGGTGGCTCAGGTGAGAAGCTGTGTGTGTGTGTGTGTGTGTGTGTGTGTGTGTCTAGATGAGGGAGACCAGGGCTGTGGCTTTGGTGTTTGGTGAGGCATGCTGGGTTGATAACCTGTGGCTGCTGGGCTGCCTTCCTGCCTGATGCAAGGAGTCCTTTGTCTTCTTTTGGATTCTAGGTGAGTGGTAAAATAGATGCCCACATTTATGGTCTTTGAAAAAGATCTTCCTGCTGGTGTGATCTAAAAATGCCTTGTCCACGAGGTGGTGCTGGCAGGAGGGAATGACATTATTAGATTCCTCATCACCCCAGGGCTACTGCTTATGATTGTCACTGCCAGTGAGTGAGAGCTAAAAATCAGTCCCAGCTCTATTTACAAAGCCACATACCTTCCAGGACCTGGAGAAATAGGTGGCACCTGCTCACCAGCCATGCGCTCACAGGGTTGAATGTGCCCAGAGAACCTGCCTTCGTGTGATTTGTACAATATTTAAACTGCCATTTATATAATGTTCAGTCTTTTAGCTGAGCTGCACACCTGATCCAAAAAGGGCACTGTTTTTGAATTTATACAAAGATGTTGTATGACAGGCCCTGACCATTTGTCTAATAGTATAATTGTTTTAAAGTGTTTTTGTTCAGAGCCTCCACCTCAAAAATGTTATCCTAACTCTGTTATATTTCTGCATTGGGGAGTTTTCCAAACGGGTCCTGAAAATTTTCATTTTCGAGATGAAATACTGCTCTCCAGTTATTTTATCAGGCGTGATTAGCTGCCATGTAAAACAAAATAATGAGGAGTAAGGCAGGGAGGGTGCCCATATGGGACAGAGAGGTGGGTGCTGCTGAAGGAGTGAGAATGACAGAGCTAGGTTTTGCCATATCACTGCTTTAGCCAGAGCTGACTTCGATCCCACCAGGCAGACAGCCCTCAATGTGGGCCCTACTTTGGGCATTGTACAGAGCCCTGGGCCTCACCCAGGGAGGCTCCCAGCCCCAGACAGACTATGTGCTATGGATGCAAAAAGAGATGGCATGTCAACAACCAAGCAAGAACAGGAAAGTCATGGAGCATTACTGCATCTCTAGGGGAGCTGCAAGCATATGCTGAAAAATGAGAGGCCTCATAGGAGGCAGAAAGACCATGTCAGTGGCGACCTGAGCCCAGGGAATATGGGTGGATTGGACCCAACCTGTGGGATAAAGAAAGCCTCATATAGAACCCTTGTGCACTGTTGATGAGAATGTAAAATGGTGCAGCCACTGTGGAAAACAATGTGGAGGGTCCTCAAAAATTAAAAATAGAAGTACCATAGATCCAGCAATTCCACTTCAGGCTGTCTCCCTAACATAATTGAAAGCAGGGACTCAAACAGATTTTTTTTTGAGACAGTCTCGCTCTGTTGCCCAGGCTGGAGTGCAGTGATGTGATCGTGACTCACTGCAACCTCTGCCTCCTGGGTTCAGGTGATTCTCCTGCCTTAGCCTACTGAGTAGCTGGGATTACAGGCACCTGCCACCACACCCGGCTAATTTTTTGTATTTTTAGTAGAGATGGGGTTTCACCACGTTGGCCAGGCTGGTCTCGAACTCCTGACCTCAAGTGATCCACCCACCTCAGCCTCCCAAAGTGCAGGGATTACAGGTGTGAGCCACCGTGCCCAGCTGTCAAACAGATATTTATACACCCATTTTCACAATATTCAAAAGGTGGAAGCAACTCCAATGTCCATTGACGGATGCATGGATAAACAAAATGTGTTCTATTCAGATAATGGAATATTATTTAGCCTTAAAAAGGGAGGGAATTCTAACATACGCTACAACATGGAGGAACCTTGAAGACATTATACTAAGTGAAATAAGCCAGTCACAAAAAGGACAAATATTTTATGATTCTACTTATACCTAGAGTAGTGAAATTCATGGAGATGGAAAGTAGAATGGTGGTTGTCAGAGGCTGGGGGAAGGGAGGAATGGGGAGCTATTGTTTAATGCAAGCTTATCCAGCCCATTGCCCACGGGCTGTATGTGGCCCATGATGGCTTTGAATACGGCCCAACACAAATTGGTAAACTTTCTTAAAACATTATGATTTTTTTTGCAATTTTTTTTTAGCTCATCAGCTATCATTAGTATATTTTATGTGTGGCCCAAGACTTCTTCCAATGTGGCCCAGGGAAGCCAAAAGATTGGACACCCCTGGTTTAATTGATAACAGAGTTTCAGTTTTGCAAGATGAAGAGTTCTAGAGATGGATGATGGTGATGCTTGCACCACAACACTGTGAATGTACTTAATACCACTAAATTATACACTTTAAAATGGTTATAATTGTAAGTGTTATATTGTGTATATTTTACCACAATAAAAAAAAAAGAAAGCCTCATAGCCAATGAGGACCTTCTGCAGAATGAGGTGGACTTTGCCAATGTAATAGACACAGGTCCCAATGCACCTTATGATGGACAAGATGCAGCACAGATCCACAATATCTGGTCCTGGGTCATTCCTTTCTAGGCTGTTAGGGGGCAAAGGATGGGAGAGGGCCACAGGTATCCCCTGACTGCTGAGAGTGGAGGTTGTAGTACGTGGGGTGGTCTGTTGGAATAGGGCCATCCCATAGCTTTGGGGCTTCTGCCTGTGGGCTGTCCTATGCCTCAGCATTCCTCACTTAGAAAGGACGTCCCCAAAGCCACCCATAGCCCTGACCCAGCTCAATCTTCCTTGCCCTCTGCCTGATATAGCCTCAGAGGCAATGCCAACCTTGGTTATAGGCCCATGTTTTGGTTATAGGCCGCAGTTTTTGCATTTTGTTACAACCATTCAAGACCCATGGCCATCCCAGTCCCATTTTTCCCAACTGTTCCTCCACCTTCTCACTGATGCCTGATATTCCTTTCACATGGGACAATGCCTTTCCATCAGCGGCAAAGACACATGAATTTAAATTCACGCTAAAGAAAGAATGGACACATTTTTGAGAGCTTATGTTTCCATTATATATCTTGTCTTATACCAATCCTGAATGATAGGTAGTATTTGCCTTGTTTTATAGAAGACAACACTGAGGCTTAGAAAGTTCTTCCATGTGCCCAAGTCATCCAGCTTGTCAGGGGCTCTGCTGAGATTCAAACCCAGGTCTGTTGGATTCCACAGTCATGTTCTTATCCTAATTCCATGCTGTCCCTCCTTATTGAGGTATAGGAAGTGGGCATAAAATTCATTTCTAGGTGCCCATTTGCTTATGGGAAGTGTGGGACAAAGAGAAAGGGAGTGAGGGTGGGGGATGTTGCCACCCTTATTGACATCCATTACAACTTTCCTCTGGCCCTTCCAATGAGTAATCCACTGGCATAATCCACATCTCCCTGACTCTGCTTTCTGATAAGACTGTATTTTTTTTGAAAGAGAAGACAGAGTTCTAACTTCCAAAAGGCTCATGCTTTTAGGAGGAATGTTTGCTCTGAAAAGGAGAAAAGCAGATGTGAGCTACAAAGGGAGCACTTTACCTGGGGTTTGTGAGCCATCCCATTACCCTGAAATTAGCCTCCAGAGCTGGATCTTGTAGTTGGGGAATTAATCCTGCCTTATTCCTTCATCACCACTCTGGGAGATTGAGTGGCCCAGCATCCTGGGATTGTTAGTCCACATAGGAAAACCAATGCTGACCACAGTGAAGGCAGGTTGACTGTCAGTAGCAGCCTGTCTGAGACCTGCTTTGTTCTGTACAACGTGATTGCCATGTTTAGGTGGTGAAAAAGGGGTAAACTAGGAAGGAAAGGGTTCTTCTTTCTCTCTTGTTTCTGCTCTCAATTAGATGATGGCCACTGGGAGAAGAGGAGTGGATTTAATCAGGAACTGAAAAGTTCTCGAGTAAGAAGATCAATGACAGAAAGCCAAAGCATGGACACTCTTGTTCTTTGTTTGGGTTGCTGTTTATGAGATGTGTTCAGGAAGGCTATATATGCTGTGGGGTAGGAGCCTGGGGTAACTTATAAGCAATACTCTAAAGGATCATGATTCTGTGAAGGGACCTCTTTTAGCCTTATCATTTAGGATTCCTTTACCTGAGGCTGATAATGAGAAAGGAATTCTGAGCACCCATTCTCTGTATTTAGGTTCAAAAAATTGTCTTGAATCAAAGCAGAAAGACAGCTATTACATCTGTCACAGCTCCTGGAAATTTGTCCTTCTGCAAGGAAAAGCAAGCCCTCAACAGAGGGAATGGCTACCCACGGGGAGGGGTTAGGCAGTGTAAAGCCCCTGAACAAATACATTTCCACCCTAGGGATAGTGGAGGCATCTGTGATTCTTACCAGTGGTCAGTCTTTGTAGTAAAGACATTTAGGGCAGCTATTAAAATAGATGTAAATGATATCTTTGAAGAATTTATGTGGCAATCCATTATCCTTCATTAAACTTTAACTTTTGTGTTTAATAGCTCTTGAACAAATTTTAAACAAATTCTTCAAATGCCATTTGAAGATGAATTAAATATTTGAGTCCTCAGTTCATCCTGCAGATGGCACTCTTTGAATGGCTGACATAGAAGCTGAGCTGACTGGGGAAAGGCTTTGCAGTCATGACAGCCTCCCTAGAGAGGAATCCAACATTCAGAGTGAAGGCCCAGGAAGGGATACACCAGGGAATCTGTGTCTACAGTTTTCTAGTCTAAGCTGCTGAGGTTGTGCGTGCTCAAATAGAAGTCCCGGGCACTGGCGGGAACCTCTCCTGGTCCTTAGTCAACTAATGGACTCAGTTTGCCTATAATCTCCCCAAATGGCTAAGGCCACCGAGTAGTTTTTAAGAGACACATATTTTAAGAGACATTAGGTGTCATCAAGAATATAAACAAGTGTAAGATGGAGTTCCTGCCCATAATAGGATGGCTGTCAGGGGATAGATGTTTCCATGTCTGCCCAGGTGGTGGAATAGAATGTAGTACTGTTATATTGTCCTGAGATATTTGCTATTATGAGGTAGGCGAGTATTCAAGTGCCTGTGGTTTACATAACAGCTGTGCCTACTCTGTTAGTGTTCTGCTTTATGGCCTCATTATCTGAAATGCCAGATTTTCTGTACGCTAATTTAGTCAAAAATTAGCAAGCGTTTATGTTCAAATATATATTATCTAAAGCCTCAGAGCACCAAATCACATTTAAGCAGCTAGACATATTAAGTAGCATTAATGTAACATTTTTGAAAGAGCAGACAATTTAAAGAAAGACTTAAAGAAATAGAAAAACATGGGCACAATTAAGTACTTTATTCAGTAATCTCTGGTTACTTGTTTCTCTATCCAACCCTTGTGGTTTTTTTGTTTTGTTTTTTTTTTTATCAAACTTGAACACACTTTAAAAAAATCATTCTGAAACTGGAAACCATCATTCTCAGCAAAGTAACACAAGAAGAGAAAACCAAACACCGCATGTTCTCACTCATAAGTGGGAATTGAACAATGAGAACACATGGACACAGGGAGGGGAACATCACACACTGGGGCCTGTTGTGGGGTAGGGGGCTGAGGGAGGGATAGCATTAGGAGAAATACCTAATATAAATGACGGGTTGGTGGGTGCAGCAAACCAACATGGCACATGTATACCTATGTAACAAACCTGCACGTTGTGCACACGTACCCCAGAACTGAAAGTATAACAATAAAAAATAAGAGCTATTATGAAAGAAGAATTAACAGAATGAATGGATAATCCAAACAAGTGGTAAGAGAAAGAATCAATGATGACAAATGTTCTGAACTCTGTAGGCAACTGCATTGTGCTATCTTGATACTTTGTTGACTTAGTAAAACTGGAACTATAAAAAAAAATCATTCAAAATAGGTAAGAATAGAAGGAAGGCATTTTAGTGGATTTATCAGTGACCTTGCCCACCGAAGATACTCTGAGTACAATCAGCAAACCTACCATAGTAATAAGGGCAAAATAAAATAGGATAATCCACAGAGATGGAAAGTCTGTGCCCTCAGAGTTGGACAATAGCCCTCATCAATTTTCATTTCCCATCAAGTTTCTGTGTTGGGCACTGTGAAAAGTTAGAGTTCCACAGTTTCTGTCTTGAGGAACTCAAAATCTAATTTTAAAAAATGCATCAAACATGTTCTAACCCTCTAAGAAATTCTGTGACAAGAAAAGAGGCATAATGTTTGCTCCTTTAGGATTTTCAAGGGGCATTTCTAGTGAAAGCTACATCATCTGGCAATTCAGTTAATATGCAGTGATGCAGTGACCTTCACAGTAAGTTCCTTCTTTCTCTTCTTGCCAGAGATGATGACCAATTATAGCAGCTGCAAATGCAAGCAGAAGGAAAAGGTGGGAGAGCTTAAATAGATGCTTTTTCACACTCTAGCTTCTTAACAAGGATGAAAGATTCTTAGGCAAATGAAAAAAAAAATAGTGAGGAAGAAAGCCAGGAAAATGCAGAAAAATTAATGTCATGAAGTGGGCAAGTGGAGGAATGTGAAGCAGCAGAGAAATAAAGGATAGTCTTGCCCTTTGGATCTTGCATGACACGTTTCCCGTTGGGGTGGATTCAGAACTTTCCCTCCCTGGAGCACTAGGGAGAAGTTACTGGTATGAGCTGATGGGAGACCATCTGGTGATCACACTGAGGATGAAAAAAGATGTTATATCTTGTGGATAACTTCCAGTCAGGGGTTTTGAAGGTCACTTTATGTGGATATGATGTAGAAAATTGGGAGAGGGCAGGAGCCAATATCCAAGATATTATAGAGAGCCTACCATGAACCTTTTATTAACCCCATGAACTGTCACCCACATTTGCTGCTTCCTTTGGGGAACAAATGGCACATTCAGAAGAAATTGGGGTTTTATTCCTAATGACATAAGTTCTGAGTAACAAACTGAAAGATTTGAAAGCACAGGTGGTGTTTTTATCTCTCGTTCCATGTGATGGCAGTAACTACAGCAAAGAAGGGAAGCTTTGAGAAACATGCATGCCTATGTAGATGGTATTTAAAAAGTTTTCTGGACTGTGTTCTACAGAGCCAGGATGACGGGCTTCTGGCAAGGGATGGAGTGCATCTTGTAAGGACTGGGAAGGATATACATTGGCAGAAACCTTGATGATCTATATAGAAAGATTTAAATGAATTTTAAAGTTGAGGGAGAAAATTAACCCAGTGAAGCCAAAATCAGATATATCAGGCTTTACATAGGTGACATAGAAAAAGAGTGTTATAAATAAAATGTGCTTAGATAACCTTAGGTTTCAAAAAATACCAAGAATACAGGTTGCAAACAATATTTTTAGGCTTCTTTATAAATAAACCAACAAAAGGCATGTGTAACAAGTAGTGCACTTAAACTTTTAACACAAGAAGATAAATATAATAGGTAGTCCTGAGACCTCAGGATATTGAGCTCATAACTAGAAAATGGCAATAGAAGAGGATTCTTTGTTGAAAGGACTTGTTCTAATGGGAAGAGTGACAGTGTATCAGGATGCTTCACATCTATATGAAATCTACAAACCTGAGGGTAGAACCTTATGCAGAAACAAAATGAAGATAAGAGGAACACAGAAATGAGCCATCATGTTAGTGGAGAGGACCATAGTCTGCTCCATCAAATGGAAGATATGGAAAATGCTGTTCTGAGATTATTTCAATTCTGGTCAAGGAAAACTATGGTCATAGTGGGAGTCCTCAAGCTCCCTGGAATCTCCTGGAAAAATCTGTGATACTGTAAATGAAATCAGTTAAGTAGGTTAGAGCAAAGGGTTCTATGTGGTAGAATGTGAATCATTGTAGAAAAGTTCAAAAAGTGTAGTTTGTGTATAAACTCCCAAGAACTTTGACCTGTAGATGCAAGGATATAGACTTTATTCTTAGAGCAGAGAGGAATGTTAAAGGCTTTTGAGTGATAATATAAATTAAAATATAATATCTAAACCAGAGAAATAATAATTATACTGTCACTGTTTAGATCACATGTGGAAAATTGCGCCTAATTCTGGAAAATATATTTTTAAAAAGATATTGACAAAATACACCACAATTGTTGGAAGGCTACCATGATTGTGAAGTTGAAGTAACTGGATATGTTTTGTTTTAAGTAAAGAATGTTTTATGGAAGGCAGGGGTGATGAGTTTGATAGTTGAAGGCTTCCCATAGATGAAATAAGAATAAAAGGTATAGTGAAGCCAATTTTAGCTTAATTCAGGTGTAACTTCTAACCATGGGTTGCATTTTTATGAGCTGTCCAAAACAGAGTGAAGTGCCTTGTGATGTAGTGTGCTTCGTCCCACTGGAGGTTTTCCGATACAGGCAACCTTTTTTCCTTAGGATTAAACACCCTCAACTCTCTCCCATCTTTTTTTTTTTTTTTTTTTTTTTTGAGACAGAGTCTCGCTCTGTCACCCAGGCTGGAGTGTGGTGGTACAACCTTGGCTCACTGCAATCTCTGCCCCCCAGATTCAAGCGATTCTCCTGCCTCAGCCCTCCAAGTAGCTGGGATCAAAAGCATGAGCCACTACACCCTGCTAATTTTATATTTTCAGTAGAGATGGGGTTTCACCATGTTGGCCAGGCTGGTCTCGAACTCCTGACCTCAAATGATCCACCTGCCTTGGCCTCCCAAAGTGCTGGGATTACAGGCGTGAGCCACCGCGCCCAGCCTCTCCCATCTTAAAAACAAATTAATACAAATACAAGCCACCAAGAACAGCTTCTCTGAACTCTACTTTCCCCTCTGTTTCTCCTTCCCTTTGTAGTCCAAGTTCTTGATAGAGGAGTTTATATTTGCTGCCTCTACTTCCTTACCTCCTCCATTCCCCTCGACCCCTGCCATTGGCTTTTGTTCTCTCTGGCCCACTGAGGTTAATCTTACCAGGGACTCCAACAGGAGTCTCTGGTTTTTATTTGCTAACTGTATTATTTATTGCTAAATCCAAAAGACACTGAACAGATTGTTCTCTTTTTTTTTTCTTTTTCTTTTTCTTTTTTTTTTTTTTTGAGACAGAGTTTCTCTCTTGTCACCCAGGCTGGAGTGCAATGGCGCGATTTCGGCTCACTGCAACCTCTGCCTCCCGGGTTCAAGTGATTCTCCTGCCTCAACCTCCTGAGTAGCTGGGATTACAGGTGCCCGCCACCACACTCAGCTAATTTTTGTATTTTTAGTAGAGGCAGAGTTTTGCCATGTTAGCCAGGCTGGTCTTGAACTCCTGACCTCAGGTGATTGCCCACCTTGGCCTCCCAAAATGCTAGGATTTACAGGTGTGCGCCACCGCACCTGGCCACTTAACAGGTCTTAATTGACTGTTCTGAAGCATTTAATCCTGTCACCCACTTCTGCCTTTTAAAGCCCTCTTTTTCCAAGCCTTCCTTGACATCGTGCTCTGTTGGTTTCCTTATGACTTTCTGGCTGGTCCTGATTAAACTCTTTTCCCTTTTCCCCAGGATTTGTTCCTCAGATCTTCTCTTCTCACTTTACACAAACTCCCTGAACAATTTAGACTCTCTCTCAGTCTCAACAGCCACGCCTACTCTCATGGCTTCCAAATCCATGTCTCATCTCTGGTTTCACCCCTGGGTTCGATATTTATAAACCCATTGGCTCTGTGGACACCTCTATTGCAATTTTCAGAGGGTTCCTAAACTCCGTGTGTCCAAAGTTTATTATATCACCTCCCACCCCTTCCGGTGTGCTCTTATTCCTGCATTCGTTATACCAGTGAAGGCCACCAACCACCCACTTGCTTGAGCCAGAAACTTGGGAGTCATTCTTGATTCTTCTCTTGCTCTTCCTCATCATTGAGTCTATTGCAATATTGCAAAGTCTTATTGATTCTGCCTCTTTCGTGTGTTTCTTTCCTTCCATCCCCATTGCCACTGCCTTAGATCAGAGCCTCATTATCTCTTGCTTGGAATACTGCAATATCCTTCTGTTTTCCCTGACTCCAGTCATTGTCTTAAATCTATCCTCACGCTGCCACAACAGTGGCTTCCCTCAAATGCAATCTCATCATCATGATCTCCAATGGTTATGGAACCTATAGATGGCTCCCCATCAGGATAAAGTTCAAACTCTTGATAATATAAACCCTTTATGACCTGCCCATTACTTTGTTTGGCTTTACCTTTTACCCCTCCTGTGTTCCCTCTATCCCATCTTGTATTCCTGTTGTCCTGGAGTTTTCCTGAGCATGCCATGCTCTCAAGTCTCAATGCTGTCTCCTTAATCCTTCTCACTCCTTTAACTGACCAGCTCCTATCACCTTCAAACACTTGTCTCAAGTATACCTCCTCTAGGAAGCCCTCAGTAGCCTCCTTGGTTTGGATTGGATGCCCCTTTTCTAGTCACCTAGTTACTCTGGTCATATCTCTATTATGGTAGTTAGCACAGTGCCATAATCAGTTTTTTGCTATCCTCACTATCTGGCTGGACTGTGACCTTCCTCAGGGCAGTAATTTTGTCTCAGTCTTTTTAAACCAATGCCTAGCACAGTGGTGACCCTGACATGCAATGGATACTTGAAAGATAAACGAATGAGTGCTATGGAACGAATGCCTTTGTTGGGCGGATATCAGGCCAGATGATCTCTGAGGTCCCTCTCAACTCTAAGAATGATAAGAGAGGTAGATCAGATGAATATTTATAAGAACACAGGCTCCAGAACCACATAACCTGGAACATAACTGAGTACTCTCCTGATAGAATTAGCAAGACTGCCCTGTGCTGGGGGTCACCCTGATTAGCCCCAGCCCAGGGTCTGGCACTTTAGAGGAAGCATCTTTTGAGTCAAATTTTGAGTGAGTTCTTTGGACTCTTTTGTATTTTCTTTAATTAAAGAAAGCTAAAAAAAAATTCAGATGAAGCTATAGGAAACCACTCTTGACAAGAAGAAATGGCAGTCCTTTCTGTGTCCATTTTCCCAGCCCCACTAATTTTCCATGATTTATCCAGCTGGGATCATTATCATCACACTGAGCCTGACTATCAGAGGAGGCTTTAACCTTCTCACTCCGTTAGCTGAAATGGAAGGAAGTCTTTTTTTTTCTTTTTAAAAACTCGCTGTTATTACAGATAAGATTGGCCTTTTCCAAAGAGATCCGAAAGGCAACAACAAAACAAAAATTAGACAGAAGTGGTATACTGTATGTTGACTTTGTATTCAGCATACTGATTTTGAGTCCAAGACAACTCTTCTAGTCACAGACTGCTTTTGATTCAATATAGTATGTTCACTGGTTGCCATTTTTTTCCTTCCCCTTTTTGAGAAGGAAATGGCCTTAATAACAACAACAATAATAACACCTACTGAGTACTTTCTGTGTGCTGGACACTGTTTGAATTATTTTTCTTATGTTAACTTATTTATTTCTCACAACATCCCATGAGTTATTAATATATATTTCTAATTCTCATTTATAGATAGGGAATTTGAGGCACAGAGACTAAATGAGTAGCTCAAGTTGATAGACCTAGTGAATGGTGGAGCTCATATTCAAGCCCTAGTAGTCTAGCTCCAGAGTCCAGGCTGTCAACCACCCTGCTGTGGAGTCTCTTGATTCAAAAGAACCTCGGATGTCTCTGGGATCAGGCCTGGTGGGGATCAGGCCTCATTTCCATCCCAGAGCCAGTTCCTAGCCCTCTTTCCATGTGTGGATCTGGGTCATCCCTCAGACAGCTAGCTGCACATTAGCACTGTGGCTGTAGGACCCCTAAGTGATACTTTTTCCCTCCTTGCCTCTAAGATTTTCATCAGACTATCATGAAGGGTCACCTTCATGGTCCTCCTTGACATCTTTTTAACCCAAAAGGTGTCTATGCAGCCTCAGGCTGCATATGACTGACTTTTGCCCTTCTCTGCCTGTCCTCTGGTGTATCTGAAGCACATGTAAGAATGATTGGTGACAGCTGGCTCTGCTCTTTGCTGAAGCTTGGCCTATTTAACAATTGATTTGGCCGGTATCTGGCCTGAGTCTTCATTTCTATGTTCTAGCACAAAATGGTGGACTATACTTGGCCCAGACCAGATAGTTATTTCATCCCTTTCCTTTTACCTTTTGCTGAAATTAAGCTATCACTAATGAAATGTCCTAGCTTTCAAAAATCTACCCCCCTAGTAGTCCCCTATCTCCATATGAGATGTCCCCTTTAGTTCTGATTTCCCCTCTGCTGGGACATATGATATAGTGAAGAAAAGCATAGCATTTGGGGTCAATCTGTTTTTTCCACTTTTGGCCCTGGACCTTGTGAAAATCACTTAAGTTCTCTGAGCCCCAGAGTTCTTCTCTCTAAAATGAGAGTGACACCTACCCTGAAGAGTGATGTGGAGATTAGAAATAATATATGGAAAGTACCTAATCAAGAATTTGATTCTCAGGAGATGCTCCATAAATGGCGGTCTCTGTGGCAGCAAATGGTGATCATGTTGGTGCTGGTGGCTGGTAATAGAATATATTTAAGCTTCACTCCCTTCCAGGCAACGCTGTTAAGTCCCATGCTGTCATCTCTCAAGATTCAGCATGGTGTGGTCTACTTAGCTATGTGGGAAAGAGTAGGCCTGTGCTTTGAGATGGCCAGGTGCCAAGAGGACAGATCAGCTGCAGGTACTGACAAACATCATCAAGCGTTAAGTGTTATGGAAGAGATGGGTGCCTTATTTGACCAGTCAAACAAGGAAAGCCAATAGAGTAATGGTATATCCTGCCTAGGGGCAGGGAACACCCAGCAGCTGGGCATCCAGGAGCCAGTGGTGTTCAGCGACCCAAGGTGGAGGCTGGACAGTTTGCACCTGGGAGGCTCTTAACAGGTTTCCGGGCTGTAGCTGCTGGGCTGCAATTCAGAGGCAGGATTCTTGGGGTACCTGGTAAGGTAATGGCTGGCTCTTAGGAACAGGACAAAATTGTGGTTATGGAAACTGAGTACCAGGGGAAGGCTGGGTTGGCTGCCGGTGGAATCTGATATGGAGGACAAGTCTGTCAGGGAGATGTGCGATTCCATTTGGTGTATGTCACTGGGCTGGAGCTGAGCCTGCCATGGGGCCCCAGAAAAGGGAGAAAGAAGTAGAGAGACACTATGAGACAAGTGAGAACAGACTCTCCCTTCTAAAGAATTCTCTGCCTAGTGGCCCTCCTCAGAAAGAGTGGAATCACTCAAGTTTCACAAATGTGACAACATATTTTACCTTGCACAGTGAGAGTAACACACCAATAGGAAGAATAAAGTTAATGTCTCTCAGAGAGCATTGGCATGGTTTAGAAAGGAAGCAAGGAAAGCTATTCCAGAGGAAAGCTTTCTTGTCTGCCCAGTATTGATTCTGAAAGCAAACCATTTATTACCATGTCTTCCAATAATTAATCTCAACACAAGTCAACTTGCCCAGATTAAGAGAAGCAGAATCAACTTCCTTTCTCTTCTCCCTTTCTTTTGTTTCTGTGACACCGTGAGCAGGGTGGGCCTCAGGAATGTGCTTGCTGCTGGGGAAGCCAGCATTTGTCTACGCTGAAAGAAGAGGGAGCATGTGATGAATTTGCATATAGGAGGAATGTATGCAAATTTCACAAGACTATTTTGCCTTCACGAAAAGATTTGAAAAAGTATTTGTAAGGTTTTAAACCTATGCTATAAAGACAAACATACAAGAATAACTGATAATAACTATCATTTATTGAAGGCACGCTTTTACAAGGAATACCTCACTTAATCTTTGAAACAGCTCTATAGATTTACTGTTAATATTTTCCAGATGAGGAATCAGGCTTAGAGAGGATCATTCAAGTGGAGGTGGCAAGATGTGAACCCAGGTAGGCTGACCTCAGAGCCTGCACTTCTAGCACACACACAAGAGGAATTAAAAAAACTGGGGTTAGTCAACCTTCCTTCTGATTTTTTTCTAAAGGAAGTTTCTACTTTATTTATCTTTTTATGTTTAATTACAAAGTTACATATTTTTCAATGTAAAACATACAGACAAGCAAAAAGAAACAGAAATAATCCACCCACTTGGTTGTCTAACTAACAGTTGCTAATACTTTCTGTTTATTCTCCCAGTTATTCCTCTGTTTATGTGTATATAGGTACATTTAGTAACCAGTTTTTCTCATTTAATGATATAGCCATGGTAATAGATGCATATCTACAATGTTATTTTTCTTTGCTAGTGGCATTTTTAATATTAAAACTTTATATTCTTTTCCAGATTCTAGTAACTTACAGGCTATTAAAACCAGGTACAGTTATAAGTGTGTAAAGAGAAGCAACATTAGCATTGAAGACAGAGGGCTGGGTCTAAGCCAAGCATTCGGAATTTCTTCCCAAGAGAAAGCTTCAGAGAATGGCAATTTACAAGAACCCTCCCAAGCCTTTCCAGTTCCTCATTGTAGGTGTGCATATATTACAGGGCTATGAGGACCTTCTGAGTCCATAAAACCGGCTGGGGTGGGGAGTAGTGATGGTGGCAGCAGTGGGGGTGGGGAGTAGTGATGGTGGCAGCAGTGGGGGTGGGGAGTAGTGATGGTGGCAGCAGCGGTGGTGGGGAGAGCTTCAGAACAGTAACATTTGTAGCCTCTTTCTTCCTCCTTCTCCTCTTCCTCTTCCTCCTTCATCCCTTCCTGCTGGTCCAGGTGTGATTTGAGGTGGGCAATGCTTTCCAGCCCCCCTGAGACCTCCATGAGGCAAGTACTTCCTGGCCGTGGCATTCAGGGTAATGGGGGCAAATCAGGTTGTGGGGGCTGATGGGTAAGAGATTTGAGAACATGTGGGTAGCTGAGGCAGCTGGTGCAGGCAATGAGGAAAGGAACCAGCATCAAAGAGCCCTGAGGAAAAGGGCTTCAGGCAGTATATTAAGCAAACCAAAAAATAAACACACATCACCAACAAGAGCAACCCACCAGGCAGATCTGTCTTTTTTCTCTGCCAATGAGCAACTGGAGGCATTTTCATAAACCAATTTTGTTCAGAATAAATTTTTAACAGGAGAAAAGCCCACTCTCAAGTTGTGACAGGAACAGATCATTACATCTGAGTTATTCCACCTGGAAATGTAGCCAGGTTTGAGACAGAGGGAGCTGAGATCTTATGGCCTCCTGCAGATACCAGGGGACATCCAAGCCTCATCAGGATTGGTGCCTTTATTTGTCTTGGGATGCACAAGGCATATGCCCAGCTAGCCCAAGGTACTGCCCTTTGGATTTAAATAGAGATTGGTGCAGCTGTCCTGCTGCAATCTAGGAGCCAACAAAACAAATACTGGCAACTTCAGCTATAATTACATATCTCCATGGTGTTTCACACCATGGGCTATTTTGCACAATATATCTGAGCCTCGGCAATGCCAAATATGGATTGAAATAGCTCCGGTGGACTTTGGCTCATCACCTGCCTAGAATTTTAAAATATCACCAAGGGAAGGAAGCCATGGAAGAGGCTAAAATGGGAACTCCAAATCCATATGATGGACATGTTTCATTTTTCTTTTTCTTTAGGAGGCTTTGACCTATGGACTCTTTAGTGTCTTGGGAATTCCCAAGGTCAGTTTCATTTGCTTAAAAAAATACAGCTAAGAGAATAGGATTATTTGGATGTAGATCTTGAGTCTGATTCATCCGCTGTAGCTGTCACTCTGATGAAACTTTGCAAGTTTATAAAGTTAGAAAGGTTCAAGGTTTGGATATCCCAGTTACTCTGATTTGATCATTGTATATTACATACAGGTATCAAAATATCACATTACTCTAAAAATATGTACAACTATTATATAAAATAAATTTTAAAAAAATTATAGTATAAAGTTTGGGATTTACTCCAAGAAACTACATTTTATCATGACTTCAGGGTGCCAGATGACCTGGACTAAGGATAATTTCCTAGATTTTCCCTTTCTTCACTCTATGCCTCACACAAAGATCACTTGAAAAATTAGTGCCACAATCTCCCCATCAACAAAATGGGAGTTGCAGATTCTTCCTGCATTTCTTCCTTGTGGGAAGCAACAAGATCCAGTGAGAAGTATACAGGGATTATAATATTTGGATGGGAGGCCAGAGCTACCCCACCTATATGTACAGCTCCCCTAACCTTGCCAAGCCTCAGTTTCTATGTCTACAAAATGGGAATGATATCTATTCCATTTCAGTTGAAGTAGGCATGCAGTAAGATAATGTACTTAAAAGTACTTTAAGTCTAGAGCACAGAGCAAATGTAAATTGCCATCATTATTTTTCAGGGGATATGGTGACAGTGGATGAGATCATGTCTGGAACACACCCAGAAAAGAAGAAAGATATAGAAGAGATTGATGATATTGCCCCATCCCAGGAGTTTCCCAAGAGAGGGAATGTGCTGACCAGTCTCTGAGTTTAACTGAACTCTTGATGCCCTGGGCTTCTTTCACTGTTTGAGGGCCAGATTCCCATGTGTAGCAGGATTAGCCAGGAAACTTTCCACATTCTAAAGCTAAAGCTAATGATTTAATGAGCAAAATCTCTCCCTGTTCTGATGTTTATTTATATAAGTTTAGGTCAGTAGGACTTTGGGGCAAAAGCAGTTGTAAGTGGAAACAGCATGATGCTTTGCATTTAGAGTTCTCCATCAGTTTCTTTTCCCTGCCCTTCTAATCAGAGAAAAATGGGCAGCCCTGCCCAGTGACCTCTCAACAGCAAGCAGTGTTGCCCCACTTCAAGACAGCAAGGGAGTGCTACAGTGCTTCTTATATCTACGTTTTGGGGGTTCTGTGAACTTATTTATGCCTAGGTAGATCCTGCCTCCAAGCCAGCTTGTTCTTGTTTCATTATGTCACCATCCACATTAAC
Source organism: Homo sapiens (assembly GCF_000001405.40). Taxonomy (NCBI): domain Eukaryota; kingdom Metazoa; phylum Chordata; class Mammalia; order Primates; family Hominidae; genus Homo; species Homo sapiens. Next base: position 124,364,154 of record NC_000003.12, read on the forward strand.
ACCACTGCTTAATTTTCTTTTTCTCATATGGAGGGTGGATTCATATGGAATTACTTATGGTTCTTGCCTAGGCTTTTGTGACTGTGAGGATTATGGTATAGTCTGTGGTCATGGAAGATAGCTCTTGGCCTGTGAATGTCAGGAACAGTCAAGAGTTTCAGAAAATTAGCTGAATGATGGGATGGGAGCCTGAACCTCATGACCCTTCCCTGTCTCATGGTCCAATCTTCAGCTATTTGGATTCTGCCCTTTCCCTGAAGAGCTTTATGTGGGGAGACTTTGATCTCCTGCAGCTTCTCTGCTCTGAGGAAATGTTGCAATGGCTATGTCTTTTCAGTTAATCTCCTAAGGAAAGGAAGTGGGAAGAACATGTTCCTGCTTTGAAAGTGGGGAGCCAGAGGTCCCAGATGGCCCTGGGTTTTGGCCGACAGTGCATGGTGAACAGTCCTTAGTGGCTATGTGGTGTCTCTTTTGTCCTAAAGCAAATCTCCCAATCCAGCCCTGTTTGAGAAGTGTGTGCAGATGGCCTTGTCATTAGCATAGGTCTCCTTCCTCTTGTCTTTCTCTCCTCTGACTCCCTCCCACCAGCTTTCCACACCAGACAGCCACTCATTAGGGCTTATCCCACAGTGAGGACTGCAGCTGGGGTCTCTGACTCTCAAACCGTGCTTCTCTGAGGACAGCTGTTCTGCCTGGAGAGCTGTTAGACACTTCTGCTGTGCTCCCACAGTGAGCTTTCCAAATCTGTACTATTGCCCCTGCCATTCCCTTTCCTAGTAGACTACTCTTTGGCTTCACATTCTAGGCTTTTAAGTTGGCTCAAAAAGTCACTTCCTGAAAATTTCTCCAGCCTTATCCCTCCTGCCCTGGTCACTCCTTTACCAAGTATGACCTCAGCATTATATTGCTAATTTGTGCTACTGTCACCCTTCATTTCTTTCATGTCCTTGGGGTCTATATAACTTAATTGTGTAGAGAACCAAGACTTAACCCTAGGCACCTCAAGGAGAAACTTGTCAATTTTTGTTTTTATTGATGATGAACTCTGAAATACAGTTTATGTTTTTCCATGCCTTATATACTGAGCATTCTGAACATAATTCACCCCTTTAAAAATGAAGGGGGGTACCTATGGCAATGTCCACAAATCCCAGTCATGAGCAGAGACACCCTGAGAGCCACTGCAGAAGCTAAGTTTGTCTATTTCTACTCACTGTTGTGTCTCTCCCAACACTACAGTATGGTTCTAGGGCTAGTCTGCATTCCACGGGGCCTAATCAGCTACTATACAGTCTCTAGAGCAGCCGTGTGCCTGACACCTACATTTCTGCTGGATGATGATGATGATTTTAACAGTGTACCTGAGGAAGGTGAGATAAAAGTGGACTTGGCTTTCTAAAGCCATGCTGATAGCCCAATCCTAGAGTGAACCAATGAGACTAGACAAGAGAGGATGATTCTTCTAGATCTGAGTGTTACCTGTTATCCCTTTCACTTTGCATTACTCCATGTTTGTGTTGCTAATTCTCATTTAAAAGGCCTAAGCATTTAAATCTATATTAGCTTGTCAGTTTCACACATGGAGGAACCCAAGGTCCAGACTCCCTGCCTGTCATTCTGTGCTGCTGTTAGTTCTATGCCATGACACTAAGGCTTTTGACATTTATATGATGGTGATAGGGAAGGCTTTCAACCAAAACTTACAGTGCCACTTCAGACATAGGCTCTAGGGGTGTGATCAGAGCACCTGCTTCACTTTTAAGTACTTTCAAATTTGACATGTTTCTTACTTCTGATGGCTGAGGAAAACAATTCAGGGTTATGAATAACTAATGCTGGCATTGTGCCTAGGGAGAATAATTTCTAGGACTTCATAGGTGATCATTTTTAGTGAGTTTTTTTTGCATATGTGTGTCATACCAACATCATGTTTCTTCTAAGCTATGATAAGCAATGTCATAAAGTCCAAACTGTGAAAGGTGTAATGTCTGATGGGGCTACAGAGACATTTTATATGTTTTGTGATTGTATATTTTATTGTATTTCTTTTTTTTTTTAATTTATTTTTTTATTGATAATTCTTGGGTGTTTCTCACAGAGGGGGATTTGCCAGGGTCATGGGACAATAGTGGAGGGAAGGTCAGCAGATAAACAAGTGAACAAAGGTCTCTGGTTTTCCTAGGCAGAGGACCCTGCGGCCTTCCGCAGTGTTTGTGTCCCTGATTACTTGAGATTAGGGATTGGTGATGACTCTTAACGAGCATGCTGCTTTCAAGCATCTGTTTAACAAAGCACATCTTGCACCACCCTTAATCCATTTAACCCTGAGTGGACACAGCACATGTTTCAGAGAGCACAGGGTTGGGGGTAAGGTCACAGATCAACAGGATCCCAAGGCAGAAGAATTTTTCTTAGTGCAGAACAAAATGAAAAGTCTCCCATGTCTACTTCTTTCTACACAGACACGGCAACCATCCGATTTCTCAATCTTTTCCCCACCTTTCCCCCCTTTCTATTCCACAAAACCGCCATTGTCATCCTGGCCCGTTCTCAATGAGCTGTTGGGCACACCTCCCAGACGGGGTGGTGGCCGGGCAGAGGGGCTCTTCACTTCCCAGTAAGGGCCGCCGGGCAGAGGCGCCCCTCACCTCCCGGACGGGGTGGCTGGCTGGGCGGGGGTCTGACCCCCCCACCTCCCTCCCGGACGGGGCGGCTGGCCGGGCGGGGGGCTGACCCCCCCACCTCCCTCCCGGATGGGGTGGCTGGCCGGGCAGAGGGGCTCCTCACTTCCCAGTAGGGGTGGCCAGGCAGAGGCGCCCCTCACCTCCCGGACGGGGCGGCTGGCCGGGTTGGGGGGCTGACCGCCCCCACCTCCCTCCCGGACGGGGCGGCTGGCCGGGCGGGGGGCTGACCCCCCCACCTCCCTCCCGGATGGGGTGGCTGGCCGGGCTGAGGGGCTCCTCACTTCCCAGTAGGGGCGGCCGGGCAGAGGCGCCCCTCACCTCCCGGACGGGGCGGCTGGCCGGGTGGGGGTCTGACCCCCCCACCTCCCTCCCGGACGGGGCGGCTGGCCGGGCGGGGGGCTGACCCCCCCACTTCCCTCCCGGACGGGGTGGCTGGCCGGGCGGGGGGCTGACCCCCCCACCTCCCTCCCGGACGGGGCGGCTGGCCGGGCAGAGGGGCTCCTCACTTCCCAGTAGGGGCGGCCGGGCAGAGGCGCCCCTCACCTCCCGGACGGGGCGGCTGGCCGGGCGGAGGGCTGACCCCCCCACCTCCCTCCCGGACGGGGCGGCTGGCCAGGCGGGGGGCTGACCCCCCCACCTCCCTCCCGGACGGGGCAGCTGGCCGGGCGGGGGGGCTGACCCCCCCACCTCCCTCCCGGACGGGGCGGCTGGCCGGGCAGAGGGGCTCCTCACTTCCCAGTAGGGGTGGCCAGGCAGAGGCGCCCCTCACCTCCCGGACGGGGCGGCTGGCCGGGTTGGGGGGCTGACCGCCCCCACCTCCCTCCCGGACGGGGTGGCTGGCCGGGCGGGGGGCTGACCCCCCCACCTCCCTCCCGGATGGGGTGGCTGGCCGGGCTGAGGGGCTCCTCACTTCCCAGTAGGGGCGGCCGGGCAGAGGCGCCCCTCACCTCCCGGACGGGGCGGCTGGCCGGGTGGGGGTCTGACCCCCCCACCTCCCTCCCGGACGGGGCGGCTGGCCGGGCGGGGGGCTGACCCCCCCACTTCCCTCCCGGACGGGGTGGCTGGCCGGGCGGGGGGCTGACCCCCCCACCTCCCTCCCGGACGGGGCGGCTGGCCGGGCAGAGGGGCTCCTCACTTCCCAGTAGGGGCGGCCGGGCAGAGGCGCCCCTCACCTCCCGGACGGGGCGGCTGGCCGGGCGGAGGGCTGACCCCCCCACCTCCCTCCCGGACGGGGCGGCTGGCCAGGCGGGGGGCTGACCCCCCCACCTCCCTCCCGGACGGGGCAGCTGGCCAGGCGGGGGGCTGACCCCCCCCACCTCCCTCCCGGACAGCACGGCTGGCCGGGCGGGGGGCTGACCCCCCACACCTCCCTCCCGGACAGCACGGCTGGCCAGGCGGGGGGCTGACCCCCCCACCTCCCTCCCGGACGGGGCGGCTGCCGGGCGGAGACGCTCCTCACTTCCCAGATGGGGTGGCTGCCGGGCGGAGGGGCTCCTCATTTCTCAGACGGGGCGGCCGGGCAGAGACGCTCCTCACCTCCCAGACGGGGTCGCGGCCGGGCAGAGGCGCTCCTCACATCCCAGATGGGGCGGCGGGGCAGAGGCGCTCCGCACATCTCAGACGATGGGCGGCCGGGCAGAGACGCTCCTCACTTCCTAGATGTGATGGTGGCTGGGAAGAGGCACTCCTCACTTCCTAGATGGGATGGCGGCCGGGCGGAGACGCTCCTCACTTTCCAGACTGGGCAGCCAGGCAGAGGGGCTCCTCACATCCCAGACGATGGGCGGCCAGGCAGAGACACTCCTCACTTCCCAGACGGGGTGGCGGCCGGGCAGAGGCTGCAATCTCGGCACTTTGGGAAGCCAAGGCAGGCGGCTGGGAGGTGTAGGTTGTAGTGAGCCGAGATCACGCCACTGCACTCCAGCCTGGGCACCATTGAGCACTGAGTGAACGAGACTCCGTCTGCAATCCCGGCACCTCGGGAGGCCGAGGCTGGCGGATCACTCGCGGTTAGGGGCTGGAGACCGGCCGGCCAACACAGCGAAACCCCATCTCCACCAAAACCAGTCAGGCGTGGTGGCGCGTGCCTGCAATCGCAGGCACTCGGCAGGCTGAGGCAGGAGAATCAGGCAGGGAGGTTGCAGTGAGCCGAGATGGCAGCAGTACAGTCCAGCTTCGGCTCCGCATGAGAGGGAGACCGTGGAAAGAGAGGGAGACCGTGGGGAGAGGGAGAGGGAGAGGGAGAGGACACTCTTTTGTCCTTTGCCTTACACCAATCTATTTTATTGTATTTCTCCAAGCATTCGTGTCTTCAGGCTCTACATAACTAGAAAATGCATTCATCTTTAAGATAAATATATTTGTAATGAAATTTATTTGTATTTCTAAATGCACTCACATTTTTACCTGTCAATTGACAAAACTATATTGAATCCTTATCTTTCCCTTTTAAAATTTCTTTGGTGTTTTTCAAATTTTGGAGAAAGTCTTGTTTATTGTAATAACAAGTGGAACATTGCAAAGATGTGTAAAGAGCTAATTATTCCTCCACTCCCACTTTCCAATTTCAGACTCCCAAGGTAATCAGTTATCTTGCACATCTTTCTCTTTTTCTTTTAAATTTCTTATTTTTTAATCAACAGAAACATGTATGTATGTATTTACTATGTACAACATGTTGTTTTGAAATATATATACATTGAAGAATAATGTATAGCTAATTAAGAGATGCATCACCTCACATAGTTATCATTTTTGTGGTGAGGGAACTTTATATTTACTCCCTTAGGATTTTTTAAGAATACATATATTGTTAACTATAGATGCTATGTTGTACAATAGATCTCTTGAACATGTTCTTCTATCTAATTGAAATTTTGTATCTTTTGGCCAACATCTCCCCAACTCCCCCGCCTCAAGACCCCCCACCTCACCACCCCCAATTATCCCAGCCCCTGGTAACCACCTTACTCTCTGCTTCTGTGAGATCAACTTTTTTAGATTCCACATATAAGTGAGATCATGCAGTATTTATCTTGCTGTGCCTGGCATATCCCGCTTAGCATAACATATTCTAGGTCCATTCATGTTGTCAAAAATGACAGGATCTCCTTTTTTATTGCTGAATAGTACTCCATTTTATTGTATTTTATTGCTGAATAGTATTCCATTGTCTATATATGACAGCACTTTGAAAAGTTTATGGAAAATGGAATTAAAAATAAAAAAATATATAAACGTTATTTGTCAACATAAGTTCCATCAAGTTCAAGACACCTTTGTAAGTGATGCTACCAGCCATTTAGTCCATCCCTAAAGAACCAAAGGTCCTGGGAATTTAACCAGGTCAATGTATGTTCTTAACTCAAGAAAAATGGATGCCCTTTAAGATTTTTTTTATGATCAGGATACAAAAAAGATACCAGAAGGACCCAAATCAGGACTGTAACGTGGATATCTAATGATTTCCCATCAAAATTCTCAAAAAAAAAATAACCGTATTTAGCTGAGAGAAATGAGCAGGAGCATAGTTTTAGGGGAGAAGGACTGTCTGGTGAAGCTTCTTGGGCATTTTCATGCTAAAGCTTTGGGTAATTTTTTCAAAACACTCTCATAGTAAACAAATATTATCATTCTTTGGCCATCCGGAAAGCCAACAAGTGAAATGCCTTGAGCATCCCAAGAAACCGTTGCTATGGTCTTTGCTCTTGACCAGTCTGCTTTTGCTTTGACAGGCTCCCACTTCCACCTCTTGGTAGCCATTGCTTTGATTGTGTTTGTCTTCAGGATCATACTGGTAAAGCTATGTTTCATTTCTTTTACAATTCTTCAAAGAAATACTTCAGGATCTTGATCACACTTGTTTAAAATCTCCATTAAAAACTCTACTCTTGTCTGCACCTGATCTGGGTGCAATCATTTTGGCACCCATTGAGTGGAAAATTTGCTCTACTTTAATTTTTCAGTCAGAATTGTGTAAGCTGATCAAACTGAGATGTCTATGGTGTTGGCTATTATTTCTGCTGTTAATCATAGGCATGAACGAGATTAATTTTTTTCACACATTGATGTGGATGGTCTGCTGCTGCGGGCTTCATCTTCAAAATTATTTCACTCCTTCTTAAAATGAGTTAGCTATTTATAAACTGCCAATTCCTTTAGGGCATTGTCCCCATAAACTTTTTATAAAGCATAAATAATTTCACCATTCTTCCACCCAAGCTTCACCATAAATTTGATGTTTGTCCTTGCTTCAATTTTAGCAGAATTCATGTTGCTCTGATTGGGGCTGTTTGAAACTGATGTCTTATCCTTCTTAGTACCTCAAACTACTTCCTGTTCAGGTATGTTATGACAAGTTAGTATGAGTTTATTTTGGTGTAAAAAAGTTGAAATCCATGCATAGTTTCCTTTTAAGTACTACACATTTCCTATGAACTTTTTGAAGACCCTTTGTCCTCTTCATCCATTTATTCACTGATGGGCACGAAGGTTGAGTTCATATCTTGAAGGTTGAGTTCATATCTCGACTACTGTGAATAGTGCTGCAGTAAACATGAGAGTGAAGACATATCTTCAACATAGTGATTTCATTTCCTTTGGATATATATCCAGTAACAGAATTGCTGGGTTGTATGGTAATTGTATTTTTATTTTTTTCAGGAAACTCCATACTGTTTTCCATGATGGCTATACTAATTTACCTTCCTACCAATAGTCTTACACACCTTTCTTCTTACAAAAATAAGGAAACATTTGCAAAACAAATGTTTCTGCTTACTTTTTGGAATAATTTCTTTAAAAAATTTTTTACTATGTTTAAATTTTTTGTGGGTACATATTGGTGTATATATTTATGATGTACATGAGATGTTTTGATACAGGCATGCAATGTGAAATAAACACAACATGGAGAATGGGGTGTCCATCCCCTCAAGCATTTAGCCTCTAAGTTACAATCTAATTAAATTCTTTAAGTTGTTTTAAGATATACAATAAAGTTATTACTGACTATAGTCATCCTATTGTGCTATCAAATAGTAGGTCTTTTTCATTCTTTCTATTTTTTGTAGCTCTTAACCATTCCTACCTTACCCCCAACTCCCTACTACCCTTCCCAGCTTCTAAAAACCTTCCATCTACTCTCTATGTCCCTGAGTTCTATTGATTTGATTTTTAGATCCCACAAATAAGTGAGAACATGAGATGTTTGTCTTTCTGTGCCTGGCTTATTTCACTTAACATAATGACCTCCAGTTCCATCCACGTTTTTGCAAATGACTGGATCTCATTCTTTTTTATGGCTGAATACTACTCTATTGTACATATGTACCACATTTTCTTCATTGGAGTAATTTCTAAACAATGCCCTGCATATAATTTTTATATTTAAGTGATTTTTTCCATTTTTTCTAATTATGAAACTAATACATATTCACCATGGAATAATTAGGAAGCAAGGAAATAGTGGAAAAGAAAATTTATCTCTATCACTGAGACATAATCATTATTAATATTTATTGATAAATTTCCATTTAGCACAGCAGAATACTAAGATTGTTTTGCCCAGGATCAAACAAATGTGAATTCCAGATCAACATCAACTATTTATGTGAGCTTCTTTTACATTTTTAATCCTCAGTTTTCTTATCTATAATATAATAGCATAATCATTATCATTATCAGTAGTAAGTTTTTTTGGTAATAAAATTAGAACCATACTTTGGTTTATTCTGACTTCTTCATTTAACATTACATTAAGAACTTTTTTATTATTTATTTTTTTATTTATTATTTATTTTTCATTAAATATTCTTCAAAAACATAATTGTAGTGAGTGGGTAATACTCTATCACGTGTTATCACAGTGTAGTGAACTATTCTGTATTGTTGAGCATTTTGGTCATTTCTGGTTTTCATTTCTATAACCCACAGTTACTATTTTTAAACTGCCAAACAAAGTGTTAAATAGATCACTGTCCTAAGTTCTGAGCAATTTCAAGGCAAAAGACTAGATTTCTCTCATGTTGGAATTTCAGCCCAGGCTTTGAGCCCTTCCCTTGGATGAGCGGTTTCAATGGTAGATGAGTGGCTACAATTAGAGTCACCTGGGAGCTTTTAAAACATGTGGCTGCCAGACATTCCCGCAACTCCCTCCCCCAGCCCATCCTAATTTACATAACCTGGAGCAGAGCCTGGGCCCTGCATTGTCCCTCCAAGCTCCTTTCTTTATCCCTCATACCCCTTGGCCCTCAACCCCCTAACCTCCTCCCCCTGTCCTGTGAGAACCACGGATTAGAGGATTCCTTAAGGTTTCTGCCATCTGAAGGATTATCAGAAAAATACTGTAAACTGGGAAGGTTGTATGATCTTTCTCAATACAGCTTCCTCTATGGTCTTATGGTCTAAAATGGTGGTTCTCAACTGGAAGGCAATTTTTGTCTCCCCCCGACTTCTACCCCACCTGGACATCTGACAGTAGCTGGGGACATTTTTGATTATTACATCTGGGGAAGAGGTTGCTATTGGCATCCTGTGGGTAGATTCCAGGGATGCTGCTAAGCATTCTACAGTGCACAGGACAGCCCGTGTTTGTTTCCCGTGGCTACTGTAACAAAGTACCACAATCCGCACAGATTAAAACAGCAGAAATTTATCGTCTCACAGTTCTGGAGGCTAGAAGTCTGAGATTGCAGTGTTAGCAGGGTTGTTCCTTCTGAGGGCTGTGAGGGAGAATCTGTTCCAGGCCTCTCTCTTAGCTTCCAGTGACTTGCTAGTGGCTTTGCTGTTTCCTGGCATGTGGCTGCACCACTCCAACCTCAGCTTTCATGTTGCTCTCCCTGTATGTCTGTATCTTCATTTGGACATCTTTCTATATGAATGAACACCAGTCATACCACACTATGGGCCTACCTTATTTCGGTATGATCTCATCTTAACTAATTATATCTGCAACAACGTTATTTCCAAATAAGGTCACATTCTAAGGTACTGGGGTTAGAGCTACAGCATATCTTTTTGCAGGGACAGAATTCAACCCACAAGAGCCCCACAAGCAAAGAATTATCCAGTGCAAAATGTGAATGGTGTTACTGTTGAGAAACTCTGTTCCACATAATCTGTGGACCAAGCCCAGGGAGGTTAACTAAGGTAAAACCCAGGGCAAGTAGCAGTATGGTCTGAATGTCTGTGTTTCCTCCAAATGTATATATTGAAACCTAATTCCCAATGTGGTTGTATTATGAGGCAGGAACTTTGGGAGGTGATCAGTGCCCTTTTAAAGAGGTTCTAGAAAGCTAGCTAGTTCCTTCTACCATATAAAGACACAGTGAGAAGATCATCTGTGAACCAGGAATTGAAGCCCTCACCAGATACTGAATCTGTGGGTACCTTGATCTTGGACTTCTCAGCCTCTAGAACTGTAAGAAATAAACTTCTGTTATGTATAAGCCACCCATTGTAAAGCATTTGTTATAGCAGCATGAATGGTCTAAGGTAAAAAGAGTCCAGAGTCTGGGAAGGTGGAAAGGGAGCAGGAGCATCGTCTTTAAGAGGGTCAGGTACCTTTGCTCTTATATCAGAGGCTGTGGGCTTCCTACAGATGTATATAGGCATAACCTCAGGCAACAGAGATATATGTGACCAAAACAGGGTGAAAGGACTTGAAAGAGCACTATGCTAACAGGGATAGAAGCAGAAGTGTGGCCAAACCCTCTGATTTGGTCACCTCACCATCTGACCCACCTTTCCACGTCAGGAACAGCCTTTTCCTCTTTTCCTCCGTTAGGAATGGAACAGGAGAGAAAAATAAATCCACAAGCCCCACAGTTTTCAGCAGTATTTTCAAGCCAACTGTCTTGTCTCTCCAAAGCCCAGTCTTCTCTCTCTGACACCCACTCCCTCCCACTGCCAGCCAAACATAGAATACAGAAAACAGGAAAAACAGCAACACTGCAAAGTTACATCTTTTGAGAGAGAACATTGCTGTGGGTACATTTCCCCCCATACCTCTTGAATTGCCAAACCTTGCAGCAGGCAGCCTTATTCTGTTCCATGGGGATGCTGTCTCACCAACTGCTTGTTTCTTTGGCTTCAGGAATTCCATGCAAGAATGAATTTCTGCCGAGATGGGGTCACTGGGCAGTCTATGTATCCACATCTGTATATTTAAGTCTATCTTCTTCACTTTTAAAATATTTTTGTCCACATTTTTATGTTGTGGCTACATGTTCCCCTTCATTGTTTTGCCATTTCCAATAGAGAGAGGGAAATGAGGGAAGGGAGAGGGTGACCAGAGGAGTGGAGATTATGTTATCAAATTCCAGGAGAGATGGGTTGCTTCCGAGCAGCAATATGAATACCCGCTGGCTATATCCGGGGCCTGCTCAGTGGGAAAAGGAGGAAGCCTTCCTCCAGTCTTCAGAGCTCCGTGTCTGCATAGCGCACGCCTCATTTTGGTCTCCTAATTGCTCAGCTATCTTTGCTGTCTATTGTTCCCTCTGGTTTGTCTCAGGAAGCAGCTCTGGGCCAACCTCTGGCCTCTAGTCCCCTTGCTCTCTGCACCATCTTCTTTGTGTCCCATTCTAAGTGCTAGTCCTGGCTCCCCTAGGCCCAGCTTACAGCCCTGACTCTGCCTTCCACAGCTCCCCATTCCTTGGTGGGCTAGGTGGGGAGAGGTCAGGGACAGAATCTTTCCCTGCTATATGTCTCAGGCCCCAGAGGGTGGCCATGTTTTCTGGAATCTGGACTGTATTTTTCTTACAGTCTGGACCTGGTGTTATCTGTCAAATTATACCTTGTAACTAGTATTGGCAACCTCTAGGATTGACTTTGCCTTTTAATCCACAAACAAGGTATTTTATTGTTGTTGTTATTGCATGGATAAAATGTTAACAGTTAATTATTTCTTTTGCTTTCCTGCCTCAGAGTGACCAGATATTTAGCTTCTAGTTTATAGTCAGGAGGGAATATTTTGAAGGTCCTTTAAAGCAATAATATGTAAATGAAGAGAGTTATTGAGAAAGAAAGAAAAGGGATCAGTGAAAGAGAGCACCCCAGCAAAGAACAACTACTATAATTTTCTCAGAATTTCTAGGCCCATGTACCTTCCTAAACACACACGGTTGGACTGTAGGAAAATAAAACTTTACTTTAAAAAAAATGTGGAGTTCTAAAAATATGCCTTTTATAGGAAAAGGTGCTAAAGCATTTTAGATATAAAGAAAAATAGTCTCCAGCAAGTAGAGATGTGTGAGAATGGACAGGGTGATTATTACGTATGTAAATGTGATAAAGTTGGTGTTTAAGTCCTCAGAGATAGTCTCAGTACCGAAACTACTTGTGTTGGGAGGTATTGGCACCTGCAATAGTTATTTTTAGTATCAGTCCCAATTAGTAACTGAAGATTTATATACATAGTCTTCAACTTTAAGGTGCATCTCTTTAGGGTACTCCTTAGACACTTCTTATTTGGACATAAAGTTGTTCTAATGGAGGGAACTTACTTGTTCCCTTATTCAGGGCACCTAAGAAGATATTGTTCTTTCAGCAGTTGTAATGTGGTGGGTCAAACCATCACTGGTACCCAGAAGTAATTTCCTCTGTTTCTTCTTACTTCTTTCCACCAAAGACCACTTTGCCATTCCCAGAATTCATCCCCTTCCCCACTACAAGAGCCAACAGATGGAGGAGAAATATATTCCTGGAGTTCTAGGATGAAAACTGAAAAGCATTTTTCTATATCACCCTCCTTAATCATAGACAATGTGCTATGTCAGTACTATATTTTAAACCTATTATGTGCTCAACTGAATTGCTTTATTTTATCCTGGGATCCTAACCTTCATTTACATGGCAAACACATTCTGAGTGCTAAATGGAACTGGGAAATGTGACACCTTACTGCTGACAAGCTGCTGAACTGCAGAGTTTTTGGGTTGAGTGACTATTGAAAGGAGAGCACTATGCCCACTAGGTACATCGAGGAATAGTTGAGATAGAAAAGATGAGTAAGATGGACTCTTTCCTTTAAAGTGAATACAATTCTCCTTAGAAGACAACATGCACACAAAAGGAGTGTATTGCAAAAGAAAAAAAAAGGCTGTTGCACGTGCACAATTACAATGTCATAATTTAAAAACCAAAGGCCCAAGAATGAATGTAATTCAAAGTAATAAAGAAGCAGAAGAGCTGGAGATTTTATAGTGAGTTTTGGAGAAGTACATGTTTCAGTGAAAAGTACTGGAAGTTATAGTTAGAGAGACTCGGCTTGCCATTTTCTAGTTATAAAACATTGTTTAAACAAGTTATTTTACGTCTCTGAGCCTCAGTTTTCTCATTTGTAAAATGAAATTAATAATACCTATCTTATGATTGATCCCAATGCTTACAGATAATGTCGATAAAGAACCTAACACAATGCATAGCATACTATGGACACCTGGTTAACTGATGCCACCTTCTTTGACCTATGGGTTATTTAGATATGTGTTATTTAGTTTCCAATAATTTGTGAGTATTCTGGTAATATTTCTGTTACTGATTTCTAATTTAATTACATTATAGTCAGAGAAAATATGTTGTATGACTTGCATCTCTTTAACTTTGTTGAGACTCATTCTATGGCTGAGAATATGGTTTATCTTGGTAAATATTCTGTGAGCACTTGAAAAGAATATGCGTTCAGCTGTTGGGGTGGGGGTGGAGTGTCCTACAAATGTCAGACCACGTTGGTTGAGAGTGTTCAAATCTATATCCTTACAAATTTCCTGTCTACTTGTTCTATTAATTACTGAGAGGGGGCATAGAATCTCTGACTATAATTATGGATTTCTCTATTTCTCCTTGTGGGTTTAATCAGTCTTTACATAGTTTGAACTTTTGTTGATAGAAGCATAACTGTTTAGGGTTATTACATCCTCTTGATGAATTGACCCCTTGATCATTATCAAATGATAATATTATTCATTTTTTCCTGGTAATGTTATTCACTCTGCAATCTACTACGTCTGATATTAATATAGCCACCCAGCTTTTTTTCTGGCTAGTGTTATCATGCTGTATCTTTTTCTGTCCTTTTACTCTTACCCTACTTGTGTCTTTGTACTTATAGTGCATTCCCTGTAGACAGCATATAATTGGGACTTGCTTTTTTATCTAATCTGACAATCTCTGCCTTTTGATTGTGTTATTTAGACAATTTATATTTAATGTGATTGCTGATATGTTTAGATTTAAATCTATCACCTTGTTTTTTTCTTTTCTATTTGTTTCATCTGTTGCTTTTCCTCCCTTTTTTTGCTTTTTTGGATTAATTTAATATTTTTATGATCCCATTTGACTTCCTTTGTTGGCTGATCAACTATAACTCTTTATTATTTTAATGGTTGCCTTAGGGTTTATAGTATTTTAACTTATCACAGTTTACCTTCAAGTGGTATTATACCACTTTACATAAAGTATAGGAACCTTACAATAGTATACTTCCATCCCTCCCTTCCTGGTCTTTGTGCTGTTGTCATATACCTTACTTATATATGTACCATAAATCCCACACTACATTGTTATCATTAGTTTTTAAACAATCAATTATTTTTAAATAGATTCAAATAATAAGAGGAAAAAAACCTTATTTACCCTTGTAGTATTTCCAGTGCTCTTGATTCCTGTGTATGGATCTGTATTTCCATCTGATACCATTTTCTTTCTTCCTGAAGGACTTCTTTTAACATTTCTTGTCTTGCAAATCTGCTAGTGAAGAATTCTTTCATCTTTGTATATCTGAAAAAGTCTTTATTTCACTTTTGTTTTTGAAAATACTTGTGCTGGGCACAGAATTCCCAGGTTTTGTTTTTTTTTTTATTTGTTTTGTTTTGTTTCTTTTAGTACTTTAAAGATGTTGCTCCACTGTCTGCTTGCACTGTTTCCAATAACAAGTCTGCTATCATCCTTATCTTTGTTCCTCTGTATATAGCTTGTCTTTTTTTCCTCTGTCTACTTTAAAGATTTTCTTTTCTTTCCCTTTTTTGCCACTTTATTTTATTTTTATGTTCCTTGGTGTAGTTTTCTTTGTGTTTCTTGTGTTGAGGGTTTGTTGGGTTTCTTGGATTTATAGTTTTTGTTATATTTGAAAACTTCTTGGTCATTATATCTTTAGGTATCTTTTCCAATACCCTCCTCTTCTCCTAGGGAATCTCAATTACATGGATATTGGCCTGTCTGAAGTTATCCCATAGCTCACAGATGCTTTATTTTTAAAATTAATTTTTTCTCTCAGTATTTTAGTTTAAATACTTACTATTGCAGTTTTCAAGTTCAGTCATTTTATCTTCTGCAAAGCCTAACCTACTGTTAATACAGTCTAATGTTTTTCATCTTTAAAAGTACAAGGGATTTTTTAAAAATTTTTTTATTTCTTAACTATCTGAACATATGGAATACAATTATAATAACCATTTTAAAATACTTGTCTGCTAATCTTAACATCTATTTCAGCTCTGGGTCAGTTTTCATTGATTGATTTTTCTCCTTCTCATAGGTGAGATTTTCCTGATTATGTGCACGCCTGGTAATTTTTTACTAGATACCAGACATCGTGAGTTTTACCTTGTCAGTTGTGGATATTTCTATATTCCTATAAATATTCTTAAGCTTTATTCTGAGACACAATAAAGTTACATGGAAAAAAATTGATCTGTTCAGGTCGTTCTCTTAAAATGTACTAGGCAGGACCAGAGCAGTTCTCATTCTAAGTCTACTTATTTACCCTTCTGACCCTTCTGGGTACTCCATCCAACATCCCATGAACCATGAGGTTTTCCAGGCTGACTGGTGGGAGCAGGTGCTATTTCTAACTGTATGAGTGCTAGGCACTGTTATCTCTAATTCTTTCAGATGGTTCTTTCTCTAGCCTCAGGTAGTTTCCTCACACATGGATTCTTTGCAGGTCTGCCCCAGAGAGGGTAAAGAAGGAAGGTGAAAGAGATTTGTCAGCTGTAAAGTACTATTCAAATGTAAGGTTTTGGGTGTTATCTTGATTGCTGCCCTCCCCAATGCCTATGCTTTTGTGTCTCCTTTGTCTTTAATGCTTACATATTTTTTTTCCTTTCATCTCATTACGTATTGGTTTCAGCCATGCTGGCCTGAAAAAAATAACCACTGTGAGGGGCATTTTCTCCTACTCCTCTGGTAGTCTCATTCTTCAATCTACATTGCCTCTTTTGAATAGTAAGGGTGACTTTCAGGCCTCATCCTCCTCATTCCCAGGTATAAAGCCAAGATTCTCACTTCATATTACCAAGGAAGTAGCCTCTTGATTCTAGAGTGTTTTTATTCACTGTCTCTCCCACCCCTTGCCTTTAAAAAGCCTGCTTCCTGCTTCTCCGCCTCAGCCCAGGGAATCTGAAAACATACCTGTATTGCTGGAATTCAGAGACAAATTATCCTAGAATGTTCTGTTTCTTCCCTGGGGAGAAAATTTAAAAGTAATGGGCCAAGGCTTCAGCAGAGTGTTTGAAGTTAGACTTAAGGGCTGAATTATTTAGGGCATCATACCTGGTTGACACAGTCATGGGGTGTTGGAGAGGGAAGAACAGGAACTGTAGCCATCAGTGTGGCCCATATCTCTGAATGAGGGGCTCTGTCTACCACAGGTCCTACCTGAAAGCTCCAACAGCTGAGGGATCTATACACCAGCACTCATAACCCATTTTTGGCATATCTGTTGGGAAATGTCAATAAGGGGTCAAGTCCAAGGCAGAGACTAGGAGACTGGGAAACCAAAGAATGCCTAGGAAATATGTTCAGAGCAAGGTCAGACTCTGGCTTTGAGTCAAAAGCTGTTGTTGATTTGGTCAGAAAGTGAGCAGAAACCTGTTGTGATCCTTGCCCCAATTTGGGGGTATTGACAAGAGTCAAAGTATTGCTTTGGTAATACTTTAGTTGATATTTTCTGTACACATTTCTATTTCAAGGCTGTGCCAGGAGGTAGGATATACCAAATAAAATTGAACATTGAACATGAATTCTAGCATGTAAGGTCTTGTACCAGGTAGTTGATGAGGAGTGAGGGTTGAATATTAACATTGGTGGAGGTTGATATCGTCTTTAAATCATTCATTCATTTACTAAATATCTATGGAGACTTACTAGGTGCCAGACACTAAGGGAAAGAGATGAAAGACATTATCTGCCCCTAAGCAGATGAGAAAGACAAAAATTTGCACTAGAAAGTAGCAGGTACCATGGAGAGGGTTGGTATAGATCAATCTAGGAGTCCAGAGGAGGGCACATAAGCTAGCCTTGGGAGAGAAGAGGATATGAGGGTGGACTTCCTAGAAGAAGCAATGCCCTTGCTGGGTCTTAAAGAATGAATAAGAGTTGGTCAAATAGAAGAGTGAAGGGAAGGGCATCTCAGGCTGAAGAAGAATATGTGCAAAGGCACAGAGGCAAGATTCAGTGCAGTGAGTTTTGGGGGATGCAAGTAATTTACTTCATAGGCTGTTTGTAGGGAAGTGATGTGGGTTGAAGCTGAAGGGAAAAAGTGTCAGGTGAAGAAGGGCATTGCACACCGTGTCAAGACATTTTACCCCAAAGGCAGTGGGAAGCCACTGAACAGTTTTAAGTAGAAGACAGTTGTGATTGGGTCTGAATTTTAGAAACTCTTTTCTACTAGTAATGGGGAAGAGAGCTGGGCAGAGACAAAGCTGAGGGCCCAGCTTTAACACTGACCCCATTGCCTTCCCACCTGTCTTTATTGTTCCATTCTCTCTATAAAATGTATCTTATAGCTCTTCACTGACTTATCCAACCTGATTTTTTGCCACTCTCCAATTTTAGTCAGGTTGACTCAACTTATTCAAACAGGCCTACTCATTTGTGTCTTGTTTGTTCAACAAACATTTAGTAAATGCCTATTGCATACCAGCCACAGCACTTGGCATGGGGGAACCAAGGATGAGTAAGACATGGAAACTGCCTTTAAGGAGCTCACAGACCAGTAGGGAGATACCATGGAGATACATTGTTACTATAAAGTGTGATGATGGCTGTGGGGTGGGCTAAATATAGAGTACCCTGGGTGCAGAAAGAAGACAGGCTTGGCTATGAGAAGCCCTTCTCCCTCTCTACTAAATCCTACCCATCCTCAGACTCCTGCCTATATTCTTATAGAGGCAGGGTAATTTAATGGGTTGTTGCTTGGGCTCTGAAGCCTGCCAACAGGGTTTTAATCCTGGTTCTGCCACTTACTGGCCATGTGACTTTGGCCCGAAATTCTTTGTACCTCAGTTTCTTCATCTGTAAAATGGGTATGATGGCTGCATCAACTTCATAGGGTTATTGCGAGGATTAAAGGAGATAGCATGCATAAAATCCTTTAGAACAATCCTTGTCATGTGCGAAATATTTAATAATAATTAGCTACTATTATTCTGTTTTTACTCCTTTTCTTCAGCATCTATATCGTATCAAGAAATTTTAACCCCTAATTATCTATTAGTTTGCTGCCTGCCCCATCTTATGTATTGTCATGTTATTTCTCTCAAGAATGATTTTAATTCTTCTTTGAGACAAAATACATTATATATTTATCTGTACTTTTGGGGTGCTTACAATATTGGGTATGTATTATAGCAATCAGCCATCCCAATTTTCCCAGGACCGAGGGGATTTCTGGGACACAGGAATTTCTATGCTAAAACCAGGAAAATCCTGGGACAAATTGATCACCTTACGTGTGGTAGACAGTTCAGTTTGGCTTTTTATTTATCTCTTATTGGTCCCAAACCTAATTTGCAAGCAAGCTCACTTTGACTTTGCCACAAATTTTTATTTATTGTCTACAGAATATAAAGCTACAATCTCTAGGGTTCTTGCGGGGGGAATCCTGAGACTCTTTAGGATTAAAGGTGGACAATTTGAGGGATTCCTAAAATACCTCTCTCCCATCAGCTGTGGGCATATAGACTAGAAATTGTGGGCAATCCCATAAGAGCTTTCTTTAACCTGACCTACAGCCGTAGAGGTCTACCCTTGCCTGTCATTCCCCTTGTCTCCCTGCATGTCTCTCATGAGTGGATGACTTCCTTCATCTGCTTTCCAGAATTGACATACCCTGCTTTAACCCAGTGGCAAAACTACTTTCCTCATATGAAGCTGCTGTTTTTCCATGAATTTCCCAGTTGGGGCCAAGTGATTTTTCCTCTTTTTCAACCCTGTGTTGGGAGCATTGGGACAATGTAAATGACTTTTTCTCTTTTTCAACCCGGTCTCACCAGCATTGGAACGATGTTTACCTTGGGAAGTTGCTTTTCAAGCAGGATTCCTTATGGATCCCCTGAGGCCTCTCTCCAAATTCCTAGAAGCCAAGACAAGTGTTTGCCTGCCCATCTTCCCCAGGTCCTATGCCAGTACAATCAAGAGGCTGGCTCCACAGCCTCTGAAAGTTTCAACCCTAGCGTCTCAGTTTCCTGGGGCTGTTGTAACAAAGCACCACGAGACTGTGACTTAGATAACAACAATTTGTTTTCTCACAGTTCTGGAAGCTAGACATTTGAGATCAAAGTGTCAGCAGAGCTAGTTCTTTCTGAGGAATATGAGGGAGAAATCTACCCTGTGCCTTTTTCTCAACTTTTAGTAGTTTTCTGGCAGTCTTTAGCATTCTTAGCCTTGTAGATACATCTCCCAGTTTCTTCGTTCATCTTCACATAGCATTGTCCCTGTGTGCATGTCTGTCTCTTCACATGGCATTTTTTTTTAAATAAGGACACCAGTCATATTGGATTAGGGATCTATCCTACTATAGTATGATTTAAACTTAATGTAACTAATTACGTCTACAATTATCCTGTTTCCAAGGAAGGTCACATTCTGAGATACTGGGGATTAGGAGTTCAACATGTGAATTTGAGTGGGGGGCACAGTTCAGTCCATAGCACCCAGGTCTTCAAGTGAGCCCAAAACACTCCTTACAGACACGGAGACCCTGTCTCCATAAGCAAAACAAAGCACCAGAGAGTCATTGCTCATGAATCCATTTCAATTCTCCACTCACTTTGTGTTTGATACTGACTGCTCTGCTTGTTCGCCACTCTAGAGTTTTGTGCCAACTCTAGGGATACTTAGAAATATATGTACACCTGAGTCACCAGCTCTAAGTCAGGACATATCAGGAGACTTTCAAAATGAGAAGCCTGCTGAGGAAAAGCTGTATCTGCGGCAAATAATGTAGTAACTATTCTAAAGGCAGTGGCTCCCATCCTGATGAATAATAATTACAAGTCGGTTGCCTTTTAAAATGCTCTGGAGAATACCATGGTGTGTACAGATAGGGAGTTGGACGACTGTGTGTGCATGTGTGTGCATGCAGTAGCTTATGATAAACAAAATCACCAGACTCTTCCCCAACCTTCCTGCAAACATTCCCTGGGCCCGCAGGGAGTAGCCTGCATCTCCTCCCTCTGGCTGTGGCCGCTGCCTTCTGTCAGCTCCCTAGAGTTGCTGATCCCTTCCCCTCCAAAGAAATAGCTCTGTTCCAAAAAGATAAACACCAGTGGTTACAGGGAACTTGAGGAGAAAAGCAAAGTGAGTCTCCCACTTAGTGTTTTTCTGGTGTTCTCACATGGAAATACAGACCGTCTTTGTGGGTGTGCTATTTCTGATCCTGGCAGTTACAGCCTGAGATGTGAGGGCAGTGATGGGTTTTCTTGAAGGTAGGGGATAGGGAGCAGCTGGGGTATGGAGGTTCTCTACGCTCTCCCCACTTCTTTCCAGGGACACTGCACCTCTGAGAAATCCCAGGGGTGGATGAGGCACCTAGCTGGTGCCCGCCTGCAGGCTGCTCGCTTGCTGAGAGGCGGCGTGCCAGCTCCGCGCACCGCGCCTCAGTGCCAGATCAGGGAGCTGTCAGCTCAGCGCCCACGCCCCTCCGCTTCAGCTCCGGGGAGCCCCAGGGTGGGCTGCTGGAAGGCGCGACTGCAACTTGACTTTGCCTCACTGTTGTTGCTGGCAGAATACGTACACCAATGCGGACAAGCTCCTAGAAGCAGCAGAGCAGTTGGCTCAGACGGGGGAATGTGACCCCGAGGAGATCTACAAGGCAGCTCGACACCTGGAGGTGCGCATCCAAGACTTCGTGCGCAGGGTGGAGCAGCGGAAGCTTCTCCTGGACATGTCTGTTTCCTTCCACACACACACCAAAGAGGTAAGGGGAGCTAGTGGAGAGAGGGCATTCTGTCCTGCCAGGGTCAGGTCGGCTTCCTAGTAAAATGGCCCTGAAGGTCTGACCAGGGTCCTGGGTAGTCTGGGGGTTACTAACTTCCTAACTTTGGTAATATTAACAATTCATTCCTGATAGCCTGCATTTAGGTCTCTCCGAATGGGGCAAAATTTCCTCCTATAATATCTAGTGAGGAAAAGGGGTCATGGAGACAGGTGGTTTTCGGGGCATCTGCTAGAGCATGCAATCTGCAGCTGGAGAAATGTGGGAATCCCTGATATAGCAATAGTCACTGCAAGAAGAAATGTAAGAGGATCACAGACTCTCTTCCCACTACACACCCAATTTCTCTTGGTTGCTGTTTCCTGTCAGAAATGAGAGTCCCACAGAACTTGTAGGACTACCAGCAAGGAACATGTAGAGTTTACAGATGTGTTTTTTCTGTGTTTTTATTTTATTTTTTAACAGGGGATTTAATCTTCTTAATGAGGTCTGTGGCAGGGTGATATTAAAGTTGGTCCTCACTTTGCCTGACTGTGGAGTGACAGGCATTGAAAGAAGGGGGACTGAGATGCCCTCCACCAAGGAAGCTGGCTGGGCTTGAAGCCCAGCCTGAATAATTCACCAAGTGGAGAAAGGAGAAGGAAGGATAGATTATGTTAAGCTGCGGCAAGAGCAGAGGGGCCCCATAGAGAGGAGGATGGTTGCAAACCTATGATTGCTTTTCATTTCTGATTAACATGGGACATGCTGAAATTGAATAAGTGGCCAGTAAGGAGGCACATTTAGCATCATCTCTAATAACAGCCTTGGCAGATGAACTCATTAGGTGTATGCATGCTTGTGTCCCCCCCCAGGAATTCCCTTTAATAGAGTATTAATTAAAGTTTGATTGCTGCTCAGGAAAAAAAAAATAGCCCTACTTAATTAAGTTGAATTTTAATATTGGGAATGCATTAAGAATCTTGGTTGTTACTGCTTCACAGCCTTTTCTGACACTGAGGGAATGAATGCAAACCATTGCAGCGCCTGTCAGAGAAAAACATGAAAAGATAGTGTTCTCTAAACTGAGATTCCCCAGGCAGATGAAGGGCTGGCAAGCTCCCTGAAGCTGGATTTGCTTCCTCTCTGCGGGACCTGCAGCCACTCTCTGATGAGTGTCTATAAAACAAGGGGATTAGCATTAATCCAGGGTTTCCTGCCTGGTTCTCTGCTT
The DNA here is from genome assembly GCF_000001405.40 of Homo sapiens. Classification (NCBI taxonomy): domain Eukaryota; kingdom Metazoa; phylum Chordata; class Mammalia; order Primates; family Hominidae; genus Homo; species Homo sapiens. The sequence continues at coordinate 124,386,268 of NC_000003.12, forward strand.
GATAGTGGCTCACCCAATTCTTAATGAAAGTCTCAGAAACCAAAGCCATGTGTATTCCCTTTTAATTATGAGCCTGTAGGTGATGGAATGGAGTATGAATGAACAGGAGTCATGTTCCTCATGAGGGCTGCGGTGGTGCTGGCTGCATGGAGAAGTGGTGGACCGGGGTCAGTTTCCATGGAACTACCACTCCCAAAAGAGTGACCATGGCTTCCAGGAATTCCTCTAGCTACATCTCCCACCTGCTATACACAGAGCTAGTAGGCTGGGATTCTAGACCAGATTCTGCTGCTAAAGAACCATATGAGCTTGTGCAAGTCACTATGTCCCTGGCCTTGGGTTTCCTTATCTATAAAATTATGCAGTTGGACTTGGCCCTAAGGCCCCTTATGGTTCTAATGTGAATCCAAGATTTCATTCTTCTTCTCTTCTTCTTTATTTGCTATTGGTAGTGATAATAAATAATAATAATAATTAAGCTGAAGTAGTATAGGTGATTTACCAAGCCTAAGATTTGGTTTATTGTAAGCACTCAAAATATATTACATGAGTTTTTTAAATGGACACCTATTACTTGCCAGACACATATACCATCTCATGTAACCTTCATGATAATCTTATGATATAGATTTTATTAAACACATTTTTAAATGAGGAGACTAAGCCTCAGAAAATAACTTTTCTAAGGTTACAGACTTTCTCAGTAGTACAGCAGATATTTTACCTGTCTTCCTATTACCTACACTCTTGTTTTTTTCCTTTTCTATCTCCTCTCCTCTGTTCTTCCTTCTCCTTACTTTTATTTTTCTTTTTTGCATTTCTAAACCCCAAATCAGGGGCTTAATGGGTAGGACAGATCTTGGCTGAGAAATACACAGTGTTGCCAGGATTGGGTGTGTGGGAGACAGGAATAGTCAGGAAGTTATTGACTATTGTTTTCCCGGATATCTCTCAAATCTTGCTAAGCTTGGTCGTGTTTGAACCTGAGACTTGTTTCCTCACTGGAACTCAGCTATAAAGTCACATTCATGTGAAATACTACTAGAAGGAGTGGTGTGATACAGGGGGCAGGTGAAGAAAGAGAAAGAACTGAAATTTATTTAGCACAAACCATGTGCTAGGCTATCTGGCTATCTAGTTCATAGCCATGATAATTCTCGTTTTTTAAAATTCCAGTTTTACAAATGGGAAAACCAAAGTTCAGAAAAATTAATAATTTGCCCATGGTTTTATAGCTAGGTTGTAGTAAGTACGGAAATTGACCCCAGGTCTTTCTGACTCTAAAGGCCATGCTTTTTTCTCCTTTGCCACAAAGACTTTTATATAAAGGCTAGTAAACAGAGACTTGAATGAATTTTTTTTTTCCATCAGAGAATTCATTCAAACAGGAGGCTATCAGGAAATTGCATAGTCTCTTTCTCCTCAGTCCCAAAATACGAGAGAAATTTAGAGCAGCCCTGCCTGTATACAAAGGGGTTTATGGTTATGAGGCTCATTCTATTCAAGACATCTACAACTCTCTGATCATACAGATTTTATTTTTTTTTTCAGGATGGACAGAAAAGCAACATTTTGAGTGGCTGTCACAGAGGAGCTGTTCCAGGGGACATGCAGTGGGACTTTGTATCTGCATGTTCCCTCTTGGTCACCTTCCCATCCAAACCAGTCTGTATGAGGTCCCCTTTAAGTGATTTGCTAGGCAGGGTAGAAAATAAGGTGTGTGTGTATGTATACATGCACATATATGTATATGTACATGTATATGTGTACACATGCACATATATGTGTACACACACATGCAAATGTTCCCACACACTAAGTACAGCAAGATCTTGGATGCCAGGTAGGTCTGATTTCCAGATCTATTTTCTTATGCTTTGTGCCTTTGGGAGAATTACTCTTAATCTCTGTTGCTTTGTAATAATTATGAGGATGACTATTACAACACTCATTTTTTTTCCTAGTAGGAAACTTCCTCCCAAATTTTTCTTAGTGTTTCTTTAAAGTAGGAAGTTTCTTTAAAGTTTCTTTAATAAATTAGGAACTTAAAGACTCAACTTAGACATCATTTTTTTTTTCTTGAACTTCTTCATGGGTGCTTCCAACTTTCACCCAGACAAGAGCAGAGCACTGTATATACCTCACACTGAGCTGTGATTCTCTCCTTCACTAAATTGGGAGTGCTAATATGTGTAGTACACACGTGGCATTAGATGTGTAGCTAGAGATACTACTGTGTCTGATACACAGAGGTGCTCAATAAGTATTGAATAAATGGGTTTACTTGACAATGGGAAGCTAGTCTCTCCTAAGAAAAGTAAAAGAAAAAGAAGAAGAAAAATGAGGGAAGAGTCCCTTCAATCACATTTTAATCTACTGCAGTTCTTTGACTTGAGCTCTCCAGATATTGTAAATAAGAGAGGCTGGGTGGGGAATCTAACTTGCTGAGGGGAGCTTTCCTTTAGGACCTATATATAGCAGGCAAAAATGGATTATTAGAAGACAGAAATGAGCATCCTTGAATGGTCTCATGGAAGAACTCCTGTGGTTTGGTTTTTCCATACTCTGTTTAATACCTCTCAAGACTCATCACCTCTTAAACATCACTAAGTATGGGTCCTATTTGATCCTGAGTTCATTAACTCTTGACTCCTTCCTCTTGACTCTATAGGCAAAGTTCTGGCTTTTTATTCAAGACAGGATTAGTAGTCTGTTAGGGAATTTTGAGTTGCTGTGGTTGCTTTTCCTTCTTACCGTGAATAGAGTGAATAGAAGGAAAATCTGCTCAACTTTTGCTAAAGTGGCCTTCGGTACTGCTGATAAATACTGTTATAAATCATTTCTGCCTCATTATGGCTATCTTCCTCCTTCTTTCTTTCCTTCCTCCATTTCTTCCTTCCTATAATAATTTGCAGAGTTTTTGCCTTGGTGCCAATTTGTAAAAGAATGTCCTCATAGTCTATAATTTTCAGGGAATGAAAGCCCCTTTTGTAGGAGATTTCTAAGTGGGAAGTGAATATCCACCTTTATAAATGATTTAACCTAGACTTCCTAGGACTCCCCAGGCTAAAGTTCATAATTTTACTTTTGCCAACTTTCCACATCAAAAGATTTACTCTAATGAGTATCAGAGAGGAAACAGGAGGAAGATATAAAAAGATAACCTCCAGGCTCATTTCTTCTACAAATTCAAGTCTGCTTAATCCTATTGGCCTCTTGAATTCTTTATTTATTGTAGGAGCCGAGAGGGTTAAAAATGTCTAACTGTTTCATCACAGTGTTAGTCATAATCTTGAATAATTAGAGACCATCTAAATGTTTCACATTGGGTGATTTCGTTAAACAAATCATAATGCATTTATATAGTAAAATATTACACAGTCATTCTAAATCACATTGCCGAAGATTATTAATGACATGAGGAAGAGCTTGTGGTATAATATATAAAAACTGTATATCCAGTACAACACAATTTCAATAACACATATAGAATAAGGACCAGAAGTAATATTTACCAGAAGTAAATATGCCAAGAATTTAAGATTGATATGGGAGATTTAATTTTTTGGCTTTTTTTTGTTTTGCAAGATTTCTTCAATGATATTTTAAATTCATAATCAGGAACAATCCAATAAATGTTATTTTTCAAAAGCAAAACTATTCATCCCTACTTATAGAGAAAAGCTACTTAAAAAAGAAAGGCAACAAACATGTACTTGGGACTTTCTTATACATCCAGAGCCTCCACTACTAGTACAAATCATGCTGAACTTAAATACATTCTTTTTGCCTGGGGCCAAGAGGGCAGCCAGCTTTGTTTTCTGGTCTGGAGAGCTAGAGCAAGTTTGGGAGAAGCATTGACCCGAGTCCTCATTCTTTTTGTCCAGGAACATGGCATTTGTAGCACCTGCCCTGCAGAAATTGTCATCACAGAATTCTCTTTCCTTGCTGTGTTTCCATGGAAATGCTGTAGTCACTGGGCTTTCAAAATACCCGTTTTTAGATATTTTTGTAGTATAAATATAAGTCAAGTTAAATAAGGAACATGGCCAAAGTAACCAGCCTCTGCTCTTTATTAGACAGCTTAATTAAATACCCACTTATATTTGTTTCACCTTGTGGAATCATTCTGCCACACCATTTCCTACTCAAATAGGTACAAACATACCACAGACACTCCCATATACACATGCTCCTCTATCCGCCAACTCTGGAACCAAAACTAAATTGGTCTTCAAGAGAGATGATGGCTTTAAGAACAAAAATAGCCTTATCCTCTATTTTACTTGCTGTACTGTTGTACTGTTTATTTAAGAAACAAGCTGGTGGTTGATGTCCAGGAAAAATTATCTTTTCAAAATGAGGGAAGAGGAGGTTCACCAGGTGGATATGGTGTGCCTTTCAACATCCTTAAGGATTGTTGATATCATTATTGTTAATCAATTGTTGTCAGCACAGTGGCTGCCCAAGCTGTGCAAATGAAACAGCCAATCAGCAGGAGAAAGTGATGAAATTAAATGACCTCTTTCCTTAACCACTCATCCGTAAGCCTTGTTATTTTTCTTACAAACCTCCTAGGCTCTTCCTCTCTTGTCTCCTTCCTTCCTGTCTTTTTCAGTTGCCGCTTTCTCAGGCTGCCCCATTATGCAAGCAGGAGAGGGTCTGTGGGCTGGCCCTAGCTGAACTCACTGGTTCACTATTAGAGCTAATCTTATGTAGGGCATGGAAAGGCTCCTTTAACTGTTCCCCTATCAAGGTTCTAGAAATTCTCAAATTGGACCCATTCTTTTGGATGTAGATATTTTTGGCCACAACTACATGTGTTTCTGTAAGAAAGAATGCACAAAACCATCTACATGTATATATCAGCATGGAGCAAGCAACCATTGCCAAGAAGTGAGCGGGACTCTAAAAGAAGGGTCATAGTATACATATATTTTGATCAAGAAGAGAGGGTCTGGAAATGGCTGAAACATGGGATTTTTCTTTTCTGGGGAGGGGGTGGGTTGGTGAAGAAGGTACAGTGCTATAATGTTAAACCTTAGATAAGCAGAAAGTAAAGAAGATCACCCAAGGGAGAGAAACCAACGTGGAAGACAGTGGGGGAAAAAACACGCGTGGTTGCTGCTGCCAAGCTACCTCACTCACTCCATGATTTTACCTAATTAGTTCCAGCAGACATTGGCTTGTAGTAGCTTGACAGAAAAGATCGTTCTGGCTGGATGTCACTGACTGCTTAATAATCAGTGAAGTAGTAGCAGAAGTGTCTCTCTAATTTGGACTCTTTTCAAAGCATGTTCTTCAGCGCTAAATCGGAGGGACATACATAGAGGAAACCTTTGGGACATTGAGAGAGATAGAAAAATTACAGCCTAATAAATGGGATATTGACTCTACTCATGGTTTAGTAGCACCAACTTTTATTTCTATCTACCTTATGGTGCTAAATCTCAGAGGTGCTTATTCAAAATTATGAGCTTGCAATTTAAGTTTGCTGCCACCAGGCAGTGACTGTGTGCACCATGTCCACAATTTCACCTCTCTCTCTTTACATCTATTTTTCTTTTAGAACTATCAAGACTTTTTAGTTTCTAGGCTTTCCTCGGTTATCCTGAGACAAAGTGGCAAAAACGGAATAGAGAGGCCCAGCCCAGTCTAGTATCTTGAAGGACCAAATTCAATGTTGATCTTATACAAACTCCAAAATGAAGGACTACTTCAAACTTTCCCTTTGCCCTCTAGTGGGAACTGGAGATGGCTTGCAACAAAAATATCTTTTTTTTCCTTTTTCTTTTTTTTTTGAGACAGAGTCTTGCTCTGTCACCCAGGTGGAGTGCAGTGGCACAATCACAGCTCACTGCAGTCTTGACCTGCTGGGAACAAGCAATCCTCCCGCCTCAGCCTCCTAAGTAGCTGGGGCTACAGGCATGTGCCAACATGCCCAGCTAATTTTTGTGTTTTTTAAAAAAATTTTTTTATAGATGCTGGGTCTTACCATGTTGTCTAAGCTAAAACTATATTTTAAATGTAATAATATGTAGCACTGATAAGTATTGACTATATGTCAGACACTGTTGATAAGTAAGATAGATAATATATTTGTGTATACACACATATATCAACTTATTTGTAATCTTTATCACAACTCTCTGTGAGGAAAGCACTGTTATTATCCCCATTTTACTGATAAAGAAAGCCAAGGTGCAGAGAGAATAAGTAACTTACCCAAGATTATATAGCTAATATGTGGTAGAACTAGGATTTGAAACTTTTTTTTTTTGGAGACAGAGTTTTTTTTGTTTTTTTTTTTAACAATTTATTGTATATTTTCTTTTCTTTCTTTCTTTTTTTTTTTTTGAGACAGTCTCCCTCTATCACCCAGGCTGGAGTGCAGCGGTGCAATCTCGGCTCACTGCAACCTCCGCCTCCTGGGTTCAAGTGATTCTCCTGCCTCAGCCTCCCAAGTAGCTGGAATTACAGGTGTACGGCATCATGCCCAGCTAATTTTTGTATTTTTTTTTATTTTTTTTTTATTATACTTTAAGTTTTAGGGTACATGTGCACATTGTGCAGGTTAGTTACATATGTATACATGTGCCATGCTGGTGCGCTGCACCCACTAACTCGTTATCTAGCATTAGGTATATCTCCCAATGCTATCCCTCCCCCCTCCCCCCACCCCACCACAGTCCCCAGAGTGTGATATTCCCCTTCCGGAGACAGAGTCTTGCTCTGTTCCCCAGGCTGGAGTGCAGTGGCACAATCTCGGCTCACTGCAACCTCTGCCTCCTGGGTTCAAGCAATTCCACTGCCTCAGCTTCCTGAATAGCTGGGGTTACAGGCACCTGCCACCATGCCTGGCTAATTTTTGTATTTTTAGTAGAGATGGGGTTTCGCCATGTTGGCCAGACTGGTCTCGAATTCCTGACCTCAGGTGATCTGCCCACCTTGGCCTCCCAAAGTGTTGGGATTGCAGGTGTGAACCACTGTGCCTGGCCCCTGAAACTCTGCCTCTCTGTACAATATTTTTTCAGAGAATCCATCATCTCTTCCCTAAAGACTTAAATACACTTAGAAAATGTGTTTTCTCTCTAGAAAAAACGACAGCCAGAAAATATGAAGTGACATTAAGCTATCATTATCAATATCCTGTACGTCCTGGTTTTATGCTGATTTGAAATTAGCATATTCACACAGCAACATGTATCCCAGCTTATATGGTCTGGAAAACTTGTTTGGTGTTTTATTTGAAAAGGAAATAAACTGAACTAATTACAACCAGACTTGCAAGCTGATAAATGTGAGGGATGCTGAATAATAATTTGCATTCCCTATAGCAATCAGCATAATGCTGTAGGCTTATTAATACTGCCATAAATTTATCTAAAGCATTAATAATAAGAAAATAGTTCAGTCCTCACAGTCTTTGAAGTGAGCAGGGCAAATCTTATTATTCCTATTTTGTAGATAAGGAAACTAAGGCTCAGGAGGTTACTCACCTGTACAAAAAGGACATTCTTTACACTTTCTTATTCATGGCCTCCAAAGCTTATTAATCTTCCTGTTAATCTCTTCTGCCGCATCTAGGGCTTCTCTATCTAAGGAACAAAGAATAACTTGTCCAAAATCTTGAAGACTATTTTTGTCTCTCTATATTTTTTTAATCTTCCCTTATTGAAAAGGCCATATTGTAATTTACCATACTGAGAACCAACTCGATGAAATAATATTCTTGAGGTAGACATTTACCTATGTTTTTAACAGGGAAGACTTCAAGATGTTAGAATCAGATGGAAACTAACCAATTTATTTTGTGCTTTCCCCAACCTACTTTACACATGATGTCATGGAGATGGAAGGGTATAGTGATTTGTGCAAAGGCACCATGAGTAACGGGAGGAACAGAAGCCAAAATCTGCATCTTCTGACTCCATCTATCAATTTTCTCTCTCTACTGGCTTTTTTCCTGGTAGAGCCCTGAGCTTATCTTTCCTGCTAGTCAGGTGAACACTCCTGGTTTCAAAGCAAACACCAGACTCATCTTCCCCTCTCTCATTTATGAAAATTCTCAAAGTAGTCAAAAGTGAGCTCTCTGGCAGGCCACTGGAGACCTGTATTCAGTATGATGAGGAAAAGCTATCAATAAATGATTTTTCAGTAATTCAGTTTTAACTCCTCATCATTTCCAGTGCTTATTTTGTTCAAAACACTATACTTTGCTCTTTTAAAGTTGTCTGGCCAGTAATACCTAGTTGCATTTTATCATCTTGAATATTATGGGAAAATGTCTCATATATTTATTGAAATTAAGATAAGCCACATCTTTAGCATTCAGCTTTCTAACCAATTTAGCAATTTTAAAAAGAACAAAATAGTATGGAATATGTACAGGTTATGCTCAGTTAATGTGCATTTAGTTCTTATTGACCACCACATTCTTTGTGTATTTGCAATATTATGATACATTTCTAGGAATCAATGTGCACAGAGTACATTACTCCCTTTCCTCCTTTCTGAAAGATGAAATAATATTCGTTCATTCTAGTCTCCTGTTCTTCCTAGTGGTGTCTCAAAGATGACTGATCTCCTTGCTCTAAGATCATACCTGTAGGTTTCCCTGACCACAGGGAAGTTAAGCCAGGGGTGATTCCTGTCTTTAGGGACTGTCAACACCAATGGAGTAAACTTAGCAAAGACTGGTGATGAATATAAATGTAAAAACACAAACTGACCCATAGTTGTGCTGATGAGAATGGCACTGACTGGTTGAGAGTAAGTTGGGTGATTCCAGTCTAGCTTCCTTGCCCTCACCCCAGCCCTGGCCTCTCCCATCTTCCCTGAGTGGAATCTCTGCTCTCTCTCTACAGTTGTGGACATGGATGGAAGACCTTCAGAAGGAGATGTTGGAGGATGTCTGTGCAGATTCTGTGGATGCAGTCCAGGAACTGATCAAGCAGTTCCAGCAGCAGCAGACCGCCACTCTAGATGCCACACTCAATGTCATCAAGGAAGGCGAAGACCTTATCCAGCAGCTCAGGTCAGCGCCTCCCTCCCTCGGGGAGCCCAGCGAGGCCAGGTCAGCATGGGCAGAGCTTTCCAGTGGGAAATGCCTCGGGCTAGACGTGAGATAAGTCCTGTCCCAGTCTTGACTCAGCAAAATCTTGCTTTGTGGTCTTGTGTGAGCTTCGGTTTCTTTATCTGTAAGATGTAAAAATGCCTGCACCATACTCAACTTGAATCTAGAATAAAATAGTAAATGGAAAAGCTTTAATGTTTCAAAGAATTATTTATCATTCAGGATGTTATTCAGCCATCAGTAAGTAACATAAATACAACAAAAATTAACAAAAGACAAAAAAAACAAAAGTAAAAAATAATTAAGAATTAGGGCATATTTGCTCATGCAGAGAAATAGACATTATGGAACATAGTGTTATTTAACATCTGGTCTTAGGCTGAACTCTGACCTCCAGTGCCCCAGTCAGCAAAATCAGATCATTTTGCTGATGTTTGACTTTGGACCCATGAAGACATAAAAAAAGTGTGGTGGTGTCCTACCAGTTCCCTGTTACCCAATTATGACCTTTTACCATTCCTTGCTGCCCAGAAAATAAAACTCCTTCTGCATCAACCTAAACAAACATAACTAAGGAGACAAATCCTGTCTAAAATTTTTCATTTGTTTAGAATTACCCAGGCCATTGCCTCCTTTCTATTGGCATCAATATCTAGTTCTCTGCCCCTGTCAAGGACACTGGCTCCTTAGATAAAGTGTCATGAGGCCTTAAGCAAGCCCTCAGCAACCAACCCCATGCCTAGGTGCTGTATAAATAGGATTTGATTGTGCTAATGATGCTTGCCCACAGGGACTTTTTCCTATCCCAAAATCACTGAGTGCTGGGACCTCTGCCAGCTCTGGACAGAAATAATCTCATCAGCAAGTCCCAGGCTATCCCTAGGGCCTGAGGGAATTACGTCAATTGGAGAGGGTTTTTTTCACCCATACCAGTTGTCCAATTAAATAAACAATGAGAAATTACCTTTAGAAGGCCCTGGCATGTTTTTCTGTTGGAAATTAATAATTTCTATTCCAAATATGCACATGAGATGCTCCAAATCCTCCTATTGCATGCTAACAAGACAGCCTCTTTTCCTTCTTCCCCTAATTATCTTCATGAATATATAATACATGACAGCTTTGTGTGCCTCCCTAGGAAACTCCACTGTCATTTGCTTCCGAAGAGAATTCCTAATAGTGGACAGTCATTTAACCTCTCTGGGCCTCAGCTGCTTCGTCTGTGTAATTAAGGGGTTCACTCTAGGAGCTCTGGCAGCTCTAGAATTTTGTGATGGCTTTGTGTTATCTATTCAAAAACTTTTCACAGGCTTGGCTGGCTTCACTTTCTGTGGGGCTAGGCCTACGGAGATGCCACTTGTTCTTAACAACTGTAAACCTGCACAATGCCTAAGGGCATAAGGCTACTTGATGATGGCAAAGGCAACAATGTGGGTGATGCCTGCTCTGCAAGATTAAATTCCATGGGTTTCAGAGAGTACCGTAGGCATATGACCAAGAGCCACTGGCGACCATTCATTATGCCAGTAACCTGACTCTAGCCTAGGCTCCCCTCCCTGACATCAAGGCATGTCAAAGAGAAAAAGAAGTAAATGGTGCTTAGTGGACATTGACAGGATGCCTCACACACACCAGAAACATCTTCCCTATGTCTTCCTGATCTTTCTGACACTTGTTACTAGAGCACCTAAGGGAGCTTTTGCATCATCTCTGTGATTCCTAGTGAGTGTGACACTGACATAGTGCTGCATAAAATGGTCCAAAATCTTTCCTTTCCTTCTGGAAAATTTGTGATGGAGAAAGACTGAGAGGAGAAGTCCAAGAGAATAATCACATCCTCCCAGCAGCAAAGCCCTCAACAAATACATAACAGATAGCACTGAGTACATCTCATGTTATTTTCATGCCTGGGGATGTCCGTGCAGTTGTGGGAGTAGAAATTGTGCCTGTATCACAACAAACAGGCCAGGGTGAGGAGGCAGGAATAGGGAGCCCTGTGACCGGTAGACGGAAGGGTGCTTGACAAATTAGCCTTACGCCATCCTCAGAAACAGAATGAACTCAAATACCATTGCTTCTGAGACAAACACAGGCTAAAAGAACATGGCTTTCAGAAAGCCTGCTGATGAGATGATTGGAAGTAAATGATTTTCCCCTTGTCCTTTGACTCCTTAAATTGTATGAGAAGCTAAGATGTCACAAGATAATGAATGTGCCAGTTTATTTCAAGTTTTAGGGCTCTAGCTTACTCAAGGCCCTATGGAATCTAAACTTCTTAGCCACCATCATTTTCCCATTATAGTTATCACCACCTCATTTTGCTAAGCAAATCAATCTGTTTATCTCTCGGCTTCCCTCTATAAGGCATCACCTCTCCCTACTACGTTTGTATAGACTCTGCCTGCTCAGAGGAGGCTGCACCCCCTCCTATTACTTGACTGTGTTTCTCCATTTCTTCAAACCCCCAAATCAAAACTGTTTGCAGCCTTTGTTGGTTGTCCCAGCTTCTTAGGATCTAGCCTTTACTCTCCTGATCAGCACTTGACACTTCACTTGTGTCCTTTCAGGATTAATAATTATCCATACATGTTACTGGTCTTAGTTCATGTGCACTCTTATTTAACAGCAAACTGTGAAGTGAGCAGGGCAGAAATTATTAAGTCCACTTGACAGATAAGGCAGCTGAGGCTCAGAGAGGTGATTTCCCAGGGCCACCAGCCTAAATGTATCAGAGCAGAGACCTAATTCAGGTTTGCAGGCTCCAGATCCTATGCTTTCCTAAGTATAGCCTGAGCCTGTTTAGTATAATAACACCAGCCCATAACTTTAGCATAGCTTTATAAAGAGCATACTTACAATTTTGGCAACCATGACATCATCTGTTTTAACAAAGAGTCTGTGAAGTAAAACTAGGAAGATTTTTTTTAAAATATGCCTTTAGTATGTTTGTCTGTACGTATTGTGATAGATTTATGTGTGTGTGTGTTGGAACTATACATATTAGACTACATATATGTGTGGAACCATTCCATTTCTCTAATATTTTATGCCTTGTAGAGTCCTTTCTCATGCATTATTTCATCTTATTTCTTTCACAATCCTGCTTGAGGAGTAGGAGAACAACTAGTCTTGGAAATAGACTTGTGAACCCAAAAAAGGATGCATGTAGCTTTGGTTCACTCATTAAGCAGAGAGCATCAGGCTCACAGCAGGAGTTTGATAAATGTCTGTTGATTGAATGACTCAACTGATTCACATCCACCTTGCTCAGATGAGGAAGATCCCCCTCCTCCTCTGTCACTTTTAACATGGAAAGGCCTCTCCCTCCCTTTTTTCTCCCCACTCTGCCACAGGGACTCGGCTGTGTCCAACAACAAAACACCCCACAGCAGCTCCATCAGCCACATCGAGTCGGTCCTGCAGCAGCTTGATGATGCCCAGGTGCAGATGGAGGAGCTGTTCCACGAGCGGAAGATCAAGCTGGACATCTTCCTGCAACTGCGCATCTTTGAGCAGTACACCATCGAGGTAGCAGGGGGCCAGGAGGGGAGGTGGAGAGGGGCCAAGAAGTGCTTCCTGGCCAAGGGCACTGCCCCAGGGGCAGGGCAGTAGCCTAAGGAAATTAGAGCATCCAGCATGCATTTTTAGAACCCAAGAAATTCCCAGTCCACCATGGCATATTCCTTCCAGTCCCTCTCATCCCCTACTGCCGAGCAGAGCCCCTCTATTTTACTTTCTGTCTGTAGATTACTTTCTTGAGAAGTTTTTTTTGTTTGTTTTTGTTCGTTTTGTTTTGTTTTGTTTTGTTCTGTTGAGAAGGAGTCTCGCTCTGTTGCCCAGGCTGAAGTGCATTGGCGCGATCTGGGCTCACTGCAAGCTCCACCTCTCGGGTTCAAGCGATTCTTCTGCCTCAGCCTCCCGAATAGCTGGGATTACAGGCATGCGCCACCACACCTGGCTAATTTTGTATTTTTAGTAGAGATAGGGTTTCACCACGTTGGTCAGGCTGGTCTCGAACTCCTGACCTCAGGTGATCCGCCTGCCTCAGCCTTCCAAAGTGCTGGGATTACAGGCATGAGCCACTGTGCCTAGCCAAGAAGTTTTTTATTGCTATCCGTTAGACTCTTACTTGGCATTTTCCTGAAATACCATCCATGGAGCTGGTAGTTTGCTGATTGGAGTAGAGTCATTGAATTTCACAGCTTTATGAATGGATAGATGTTAAAATTAGGTGGCCTCCTTAGAGCTGATAATATAAATCATGCGTTAGATTCAATCACACAGCAGTTAAGAAGCCAAGCGCCACAGGAAGGGGAACCTGTATCCGCAGTTTGATTTCTACCTATTAAGAAAGTAAGCCTGTGCTAAGACCATTTGTTAGTTCATCTCATAAACTCCTCAGTTTATTTTTGGAAGGTTGGAATCACATATTCTGGTAAATTTATGTCCCCTTTCTCATACCAATTAGTAATGTCTTCCTTCACATAATTTCCCCCTTTTAATATTTTCTGCTTTGAAACCATAACTAAAGCCAGGCCAATAGGGTTTCTGTGGTATAAGGAATATCCAACATAAGGCACTTTTTCCTTTTCAGGGATAGCAAAGGGTTAAATTAAAGGCATGTCTTCTGTTTGCTCCTGGCTGGTATGGTAGGGGGAAAAGCCAACTTTCCACCCACCATTTCTTAACTTTGTTTTCCATTCCAACCATCTCTCTGGAGTTAGGGCTTCTGGGTTTGGTGAGCTTCCCAATAATATCTGCGGAAACTTCAATGGAACAGCTTTAGAAGGAATTTTTTTTTTAATATATCGAAAGCTCCAATATCCCATCCTAATCCAACTCAGTACAAGAGACTATCTTGGGAACAGCTACCCTTTGCTTTAATCCTAGGTCCAAAAATGTTCATATTGAGAATCTGAAATGTAAAAGAAAAGCAATCATAAAGGTACTCATCTTTCTATCCCCTACTCTCTTACAAGCACATCTGTACTCCTGCCTCCTTGGGAGAACTTGTAATTTCTTGCTTAAAGACTTCATGTTCTAAAAGGTGCTTTCTGGACAGGTCCTGGAACAAAGGAGAAGTTAAGCCTTTAAATCTAGACCTTAACTATCCTTCCAACTGATTTCATAACCTTAGGAGAATTTATTTATATTTATTATTTATTTTGAATGTACTGTCAGGATTTCAGGTGGCAAGTAGTATCAACACACATTTTGAAAAACAATAAAAATGCCAGTGGGAAAATAAAAATATTGACATGTAGTGAAGAGTGTATGTAGTGAACATTGTAAAGGCAGGGTAACAAGGTAATAAAGAGATAAAAGAGAGGGTATGGGTCATTATTCTTTAGTAATATGGATTGAGATGTACAAAAATAAATACAGGCTAAGTTGATTAAAGTAGCCCAAGGCATTCCTGCAATCATTCCTCAGCTCCATTTTGCCCACTGGGAGAGAATATATCCATGGAGAAATTATGTTAGCAGGTGTGGTGGTTTTGCTGTTGTACTTCTTATTTACTCTCCTGTCATTCCAGGTCTGCTTCAAAACATGCTTAAGGGGGAGGAAACAATCTGAGGGTTTGGATTAAGTTTTATTTGAAAAGATAGCTGTGACCTGGAAGTCAGGGTTGCTGGTTCAGCGCTGGAATGGGTCAGTTAGCTTCACTTTGACATCGACTACACCCCTCACATCAGCTGGGGGCATCGCAAGTGTGTCTTTACTAGCATCGATTGTAGGCAAATCAAGTTCCACTCCTAAAAAACAATCCAAAGCATATGGAGAAAATATCCTTTAAAAAATGTGGGTTTAAATCACATGCATTAAAATTGGATCTGGCTTAAAGGTTACGAGAGAGGAACTTGACACTTAAATTATGGAGCCAAGGGTGGTGGCTCACGCCTATAATCCCAGCACTTTGGGAGGCTGAGGCTGGCAGATCACTTGAACTCAGGAGCTCAAGACCAGCCTGGGCAACGTGGTGAAACTCCATCTCCACCAAAAATATAAACAAAAACCGAGTGTGGTGGTGAGCACCCATGGTCCCAGCTACTCAGGAGGCTAAGATGGTAGGATCACTTGAGCCCAGGAGGCGGAGGTTGCAGTGAGCTGTGATCACACCACTGCACTCCAGCCTAGATGACAGAGTGAGACCCTGTCTCAGAAAAAAATAAAAAATAAACAAATAAATTATTGGATTTGCATTCTTTAGCCTTTGTATGTATAAAAATTCCTCGTCCCACCCTAAGTACTGGACAACCTGGTATGCAGGAGAGCAAGAGTGTGAGGGCCTCATAAAATGAGGGAGAGAAAAATCATGATAGGATCCTGCATCCTCTGGTGTAGGCTATAACGTCCGGATTTTACAAGGGGTCTTATTCCCTTGTCTTGTGGGGGAGGCCCAAAAGCTTGGGGAGAATGCTACATCTAATCTTAGAACTGGAAATCCTGCCAAACCTATAGAAAAGTTCTGCTTCAAGTCAGATTGTCAGAAGTTATTTTTGAGGGTGTTGAGATTATTCAAATACCAGCTATGTCTCACTGTGGGGATGAAGAACAAACTTTTAGAGAAGCTTCTGGTGTGAAACTGAGGGTGGTTTCTGTAACGAGAGGCGTGTTTATGCTGACATAAGCCAGGGCAGGGTCTGTGATTACAGGACCTACAGTGTGGTTTCCTTCCTAAAGGAAGGCATTTGATAGACATGCTCCAAATTCCTCAGGATTACTGAACACTGGAGGAGGACTGCTACCCTGCATCTGAGGAATCTAAACATGACTCCTTAGCCATATCACTGAGGGCCCAGATGAGCCAGTTAATGTAATCATTAGGATAGCACATGAGCTGCTGCACCAATCTCTTTGTACTCAATAATAATGGTACTCACATTATAACCTGGAATGAGATCATAGGGCATGCCCACATAAAGTGAAACATCCTAAATTTGTTAGTCAGATGTTCAAAACCAGGCCCATAGCTGGATTCCTGGTATACCTTCTTGGACTCCATGGAGACCAAAGTGACCTATAGTGGAACATGATGTTCTATAACGTTTTTTTCCTTTAGGTTCAGCCTCCTTCTATGAAAGACATTTTATATAAACTAGTTATGATAGAAGAGACATTTCACCAAATACAAATGTTTATTTTGTGATGGTAAGAATACAGGTGATTTTTTTTCTTATTTTTGATGCTTTCTTGCATTTCCAAGTTTTATACAATTAGGATAATCAGAAAGAAATGAAAAATATTTTTAGAAGCAAGAATAGGCCAGTGGTCTCCAAACATTTTTGATTGTGTGCCTTCTCAATTTTTTTGAACTTGCAACCCCCTACATATAAATATTTATTCATTTTTAAGTTATAAAAACGTTCGGTCACTGCCTAATAATTTCAAAATTCAACATGCTCTTTGGGAGAGGTTTAGTTTTTTCATTAGAAATTGTGGGTTCCATATTTCAAATAGTCTTCTGATAATTTCCAATTATTTTTTGCCTGGTTTCTTGAGAGATCAGATTAGATTGTCATTGTTGCCTTACCCCATAATGTGGCTGACAGAGAATTCAAAGTTCTCTTGTGCTTTCATGATTGGTATTATCTTCAAACTGCAGTTTCTTTGCAGGAAACTCGTTAAACCACGTGTCTTTTTGTGAAGGTTAGTTTAGTTAAAACTAGATAGTAGATAAATCTATTTAACTGGACACATGAAAAAAAGCAATAATTTGAAATGTGCTGAAAGCAATGAACAAATGAGCCACAGTCAGCCACTGAGTTGTGACACTCCTACCTTCCCCCCTTCCCCGAGGAGCTCTCTTTTTCGTGCACTACACAAAGCCATCTGCCATGTGGTCAGAGTGAGACTCCAGCACCAGTCTACTAATGAAAATCCTGGGAAATTTTATATACTTTGTATTGGCTTGATAAAATATATGTGCACAATATAATATATATACACATATATGCATATTTATATCAAGATAGTTTTTCTACCATCATTGGATAATTTGGGGCATTTTCTGAGATGGGCATACTTATGTTGGAAAGCCTTAGAAATGACACTAAGAAGGATATTCTAGACAAGGGACTTTCTGAAAATATGGGCCACCTTTATGGTTTTTCTTTTAAATCTCTAACTGTGTAATTGCAAGCGAGGTATGCTTAATGCACCTGAAAGTTTATTTGAGTAGGGAATGATATATCAATTCTAAATCTATGGGGTTCATGTAAAACAAATAGGGGCCAGGCTAAGGCTGGGGAGAAATGGCATTCAAGGAAGAAACTTCTGCCTAGAGAAGATAAGCTGATTATAACTTACTGGTGGTCTCAACTCTTCAATTAGTTGCACACAGAGGCCCTTAGCATTTTATATTAGAAAGAGACCATTCGGTCAGCCTTTTACCTATATAGAAATTCAACTCAGTAAACATTTGGTGAGCACCTCCTTATGTAGCAAAAACTATGTTGGACATTGAGGACATAACAGGGAGACACAGAAACAGAGAATCATCATACAATTTAAGAATTCTATGATAGAGGCTCCTAGTTTGCAGAGAACACTGGAAGAGGCAGATGCTTAGCCCAGTCAGGATGTTCATAGAGGGTTTCCCAATGAGGTTACACCTGAGGGCAGGCAAAAGTTGGTGGCTAGGATTTGGCATCCTTGGATGATGCCATCCAGCCTCTACCAGAATATCTCCAGAGCCCAGAAAGGGGCTTAGCAGGGAAGGGAGAAGAAAGGAGGGAGCTCATCATCTCACTATTGTGTTGAACCAAAATCTCCACCTTTTACACTTGGGTCTTTGTTCTGCTCTCTGGAAAAAAAAAAAAAAAAGAGAGAACTAGTCTGCTCCCTCTTATTTGGGAGCCTTAAAAATAATTGAAAATGTTTATCATAGGCCTCTTTTCCTTTATCTGAAAAATGGTGAGCTTGTATGAGTTATTTCTGCAGTCCCGGTGACTCTAAAAATGTTATAATGATTTCTCCTTAGTGTCAGCCCTCTATGGTATATATCCTCTATTTTATTCACCTCTTTCTGGATAGGACATGGTCTCTAGTCACTGACTGTCTTGGTCACTGTCTGCTGAATGGAGCCTGGCTCACATATAGGCTTGGATGTGTCCTCTTCAGAGTACTGGCTCTGGTGCAGCCCAGGAGATAGGTACCTTTTTAATGACTTCATCACCTGTCTTGTCTAGTCTTTGCTTGCTTAAAAGCTCCTGGTTGTCATTTGAAAGTATGGGCTTCCAGTACACTGACTTAAAAAAAAAAAACTTCAATGTCAGCTTTTATATTTTGTCACTCAAATTTAGTCTTTTTCTTTTTTTTTTTTTTGCACAGTTCTTCTGCCTGTGAAAATAGATATAAATTTAATTTATTATTACTATCAATGTTGTGGCTGTTTGAAAAGTTGGGCAGGTAAGACAGGGCTGTCTGGTGCATCACTACAGGTTCTTATCTGGGGGACACAGAGCCATTAGTCTGCACAGTCACTGTTAGCTGTGGATCATCTAAGAGCCCATCATCGAGTCCAATTTCGCCACTTTTTCTTCCATAAAAACCATTCGAGACTGCAAGGCCTTGCTGTTCTCCACGTTTGTAACATGCCAAATCCACCAACATTGCAACTGTATCAAGAAAGAAGCTAAGATCTATTTGAGGTCATCTTTGTGCACTCTTCCTAGTGATCACTGTCACATTTTCTAAGTACCCCCAGAACCTTTGGAAAGAACATGTAGAATGAATACAATGAAGTAAACCTAATCCTCACAAAATATTTATTTCATAGTCTCTTCTAGACTTTTTGACAAATTAATTTCAGGATCACTGGGAGGTTTTCCCTACTATCGTCCTTTTTTAAAAAAATCAGGATTTTTCACACAGCTTTAGTATTCTGGCAGGTCACCTGTTTTCAGTAGAACTGTCAAAAATCCCTGATGGAAATGTTCAGATCACTCTGTAATGGGGTGGGTCTGGGGCTGTGGACCTGAACTCAAGTAAAATTATCAAGGTTCAAATGCTATATGCTCCTCCTTTCTGGTAAGGATGCAGTAGAAGGTGTTCAGCTTACACAGGGGGAGAAAACATTCTGACACTCAAGCATAACTAGGTTCTAGAATGAGTGAGCAATATACGTTATAGGAGCTCTTCAACAAAAGAGAGATCTTTTAAAAGGAGAATAGAGTTCCACAAATCTCAAAATGATAAAAGGCAAAGGTATGGACACAAGTATAAAAAGGAATGACCAAGATCCCTCCCAACCCTGTTAATTGACAGTTGTGATTATATCAAGGACCTCAGGGTTTTTTTTTTTTTTTTTTTTTTTTTGACGGAGTCTCGCTCTGTCAGCCAGGCTGGAGTGCAATGACACAATCTTGGCTCACTGCAAGCTCCACCTCCTGGGTTCACGCCATTCTCCTGCCTCAGCCTCCTGAGTAGCTGGGACTACAGGTGCCCACCACCACACCCGGCTAATTTTTTTGTATTTTTAGTAGAGATGAGGTTTCACTGTGTTAGCCAGGATGGCCTCGATCTCCTGACCTCGTGATCCGCCCGCCTCGGCCTCCCAAAGTACTGGGATTACAGGCGTGAGCCACCACACCTGGCCAAGGATCTCAGTTTTAATCATGATGATAGAGAAGAAAAGAACATAAAATTGGCCATAAAAATAATCCAATTATCCAAATTATTCAATTGGTATAGAAATTAAGTAATTGAACATTGGAACTCATCAATTACAGCATTTTTGCAATATGTTCTCACATTATTTTGCCAAAAATTAAAAACTGACTGGATTTCATTATTTCCAAGTCCCTTTGCTTTTCTGGAAATTTCTTACAATATTCCCAAAGGTCTTTAGCTATTTAAACAAATATTTTAACTCTTCAGAGAGATTATACATATTACTAAAACAGGGAAATGCTATGATAACTTTAAAATAATCTGCTTTAGAAGTCACTAATCTTATCATTGTAAGAATTGATTAGCAGAGAGGAACTCAACATTATATTGGACAAGAAGAGTAAATGACCATGGTACTTTAGCTATTTTATTCATCGTGGTAACCTATATCAAAAATTATAGATAAAATAGATCTTCCCATGCAATGAGGTGGTTTCTTCAGCTGCAATATGTCTTTCCCTATCAGCCAGCATTTGTAGGGCAGTGGAGAATATTTGTCTTCCACTTTCCTCATCTTCACAAAAATAATGATGTCATAAAACAGAAAGATGCCATTTTGCAATTGATAACCCAGGTATGTCAATGGCATCCCATCACAGTGAAATGCCATGGACCCTTTCTTCCTACTGGTAATTGGAATGAGATTGAATCTTAACATATGCAACATATGTAGTGTTGATTAATGTATATAATCACCTTTGCTGAGAGACAGTAATGCCGTGATCAAGTGTGTAGTATTTTGAGTTAGACTGCCTGGGTTTGAAACCTGTTTTACTAACTTTACTAATTGTGTGGCCTTAAGCAAGTTGCTTTGCTTTTTTTTTTTTTTTTTGAGACAGGGTCTCACTCTGTCACCCAAGCTGGAGTGCAGTGGCATGATCTCGGCTCACTGCTATCTCCGCCTCCTGGGTTCCAGTGATTCTCCTGGGTTCAAGCCTCCAGAGTAGCTGGGATTACAGGTATGCGCCACCACGCCCAGCTAATTTTTGTATTTTTAGTAGAGATGGGGTTTCACCATGCTTGCCAGGCTGGTCTCAAACTCCTGACCTCAGGTGATCCACCTGCGAAAGTGTTGGGATTACAGGCGTGAGTCACTGCACCCAGCCAGGCAAATTGCCCTTGAAGCCTTGGTTTCCTCATTTGAGAAATGGAAACGAAATAATATTTCCCAGCCTATTGGGTTACTGTGAGGATTTAATAAGTTAACACATAATATGTTTAGCAAAGCTCCTGACAGTTAATCAGCACTTAATACATAGTAGTCAGCATTGTTATTATTATTCATAATATGTTTTCTTTTATATATATATATATATTTGCTTCCAGGTTTTAAGCAGTTAAACATCCCTTCTTATTCTTTCTCATTGTTTCTCTTCTGATTTGTTACTGAGTCATATTAGGAGATCCCTGAATGTTTATGCAGAGAACCTGCTGTGGGAGCCAAAGTCATTTGCTCTTGCCTTACAGAGACCCTGCCTGTGTTGGGAACAGATCATATTTCTATCTGCTGCAATTTAAGTCTCAATACCAAATTGCAGATGTGTTTCCTATTCATGACAAAGGCATCTGGATAACCAGATAATTCTATATAGGTTAATATTACCTTTATACTGAGCAATCTGGCAGAGTCGGTTTAAAAAAAATTACTAAACTCTTTAAAAATGTACTATACTGTGCTCACTTCATCAGCACATACACTAAACTGAAACGATACAGAGATTAGCATGGGCCCTGACGCACAAATACGTGAAGCATTCCATAAATTTTTTTTTTATTTTTTATTTTGAGACGGAATCTCGCTCTGTTGCCCAGGCTGGAGTGCAGTGGCACGATCTCGGCTCACCACCTAGGTTCACGCCATTCTCCTGCCTCAGCCTCCCGAGTAGCTGGGACTAGAGGCACCCGCCACCACGCCCAGCTATTTTTTTTGTATTTTTAGTAGAGACGGGGTTTCACCGTGTTAGCTAGGATGGGCTCGATCTCCTGACCTCGTGATCCGCCCGCCTCAGCCTCCCAAAGTGCTGGGATTACAGGCGTGAGCCACTGTGCCTGGCCAAAACTTTTTTTTAAAAAGGAAAAGAAATACTGGAGGAAGGCAGTGCGTTTTCTTGCAAGGATAAATTATGCCTGGCATTTATCTAAGGCCACAAACACAAAATTTCTTGGTCTGCTAAAAAAAATATGATTAATTTAAAAGGCTCATGTGAAGTGAAGAAAACTGAATTATGGGTTTTGTTTTTTGTTTTGTTTTTGTTTTTGTTTTAGAAGAAGAAGAAAACAAGAAGGGTAAAACTGGCACTTTTCTGAAGTGAGAATAGTAAAAAGAAAGATATCCCCCAAAATCAATTCTTGGAGCAGCCCTATTGTTGTAACACCATGGTTAAGAGCATTGGACTTGGTCATTAAATGCTCAGCTCTACCACCACCAGCTCTGAGACCATGGGAGAAACTATATGACTTCTCTGTGCTTTCATTTCCTCCTATAGTGCTATGAGGATTAAATAAAGTTGATCAAACACTTAACACATTGCCTGCCCCATAATAAATGCACAATACAAAGTAAAATGTCTTCTTCAATCATACTATCTTCATCATTGTTGCCAACATCTAAACACTGATCTGAAGAAAGAACTATACAGTGAGATTTCCAATGTTGCAGGTGATAAAGAGTTGAAGTGGGTAGACCATAGGAAGTGGGGAAAAAAAAAAGGGAGGGGCAGGTGAATTTTGATTCAGGCAGATACAGTTCAAAACATCTGGGGAAGAGGGACTATAGCTTTCTCTACACATAAATACTGGGGAAGACCAAGAAAACAGGAGGAACCAATGGAGAGAGCTCTCTGAAAGCAGAGCTCAAGGTGACTGCTAAACCAACTCCTATGAAGCAAATTTTGATGGCAGAATACTGGATTTGGTGTATCTCATCTAGCAGGAACACCTTGGGCTTCTTTTTGAAGTGAGGCTTCCCATTTTCCATTTCCCACTGCCTCTTACCCTTTTTTAAATTTTATTTTGGCACTTTCTCTGATTTCCCTTATTGATGTCTCTAGAGTAGACAATTGTTAGAATAGAAATATTGCCAATGTATCTGTCAAAAAAGTCATCATTTCCTAACTGCAGTTAATTCAGGAGAGTGGGGGAGACAGAGGCCACTAGAGCAAGTGGGGAACTGAGGTGGAAGTAACTGAGTGGAAGGAGAAAGCAAAATAGGTTGACTGAAAGCGGAATGCCCTCTGGGAACCTTGTGTTCCATCTTTCATTCACTGGCTTCAGGCCCTAGTTTCTAGCCTGAACAAATTCTCTCCAGATGGAGTTAAATCACTAAATTCACTCACTGGCACAGGCTTTTCTTTTCAGTCTTGTCTCTCTGTATTAGCAAACTAACCCATGACCCATGTTATTAGATAAGCCAGAGAAAAATATTCGGGTCTAGGTGTTGTCGTGAAGCTCTTCATGCCAGAGGGTTTACTCTGAAGGGTGGTCAGGGCTTAAGCAGATTGGGAGGAAGGACAAGGGCGTTTCAGGGCTATTAGGCTAGTGAAGAAGGCTGGAGAGGGCAGAACTTGCTCTCAGCATCAGCAAGTAAACCATCTGACTGGTTCACAACAAGAGCACAGGGTAAGCCTGGGAAGCTAGGTTTGTTCATTAGCAGTAAGGTCAACTTAAGGTTTGAAAACAACTATTTTTCTTTTTAAAAAATGAGCCTCTATTGTCTTCCAGCCTTATGCCCCAGAAAGAAGGTGGGGAGGAAGAACCTAATGAAAAAAACATTCCTTGAGGAAACAGAAAATACTTAGGAAAGAGAATAATTTAAATTCCAGTATACATTAAACACACACAAATCAGACTAATTGAAAGCTGTGGGCATCAGTGCCTGGGGGAGAGAAGGGAGGGGGAGTCCAACAGAAAGAGGAGAGAGCCTGCGGACCCAGGGAGGGCAGCCTTAGGAGGAGGCCCTGGAAATTCCCATTCTCCAGGCTTCATAACAGACCTGGGTTCCTCAATTCAATGGTGTCAGATGATGAGAGTGGAGGAGGGTAAGGAGAGGAGATGAAAGAATATAGAAACACCAGGTACAGAATCCTGGACATATTTCACATTTAGCTTAGATTTGAATTCCCAAGATTCCAGACC
This sequence comes from Homo sapiens, assembly GCF_000001405.40. Taxonomy (NCBI): domain Eukaryota; kingdom Metazoa; phylum Chordata; class Mammalia; order Primates; family Hominidae; genus Homo; species Homo sapiens. The sequence continues at coordinate 124,410,152 of NC_000003.12, forward strand.
TCTGAGATCACTCTCTCAACTAAAGCCCTCTGACGTGACTCTCTTCTCCCTCACCAGGACCGTCGGCACCTTCCACTCCATAGATTCCTGGCTATGGGACTCCTTGGATCTTCCTGCAGCAAATAGATACCTCAGACTCAGTTTCACAGAAACAAACAGAACCTAAAATCAAAAGAAAAGGCAGGCTCTTCCTTTCATGCTTGTTGTCTTAGTTTTATTCTAATTCCCCTTAGTTTGTAGGCCAGAAAATGGAGTAAAAATTGTGATTTGGGCTATTTTACATATATTATCTGATAAAGAACTTACATCTAGAATATATTTAGAACTTTTACAAATCTACAATGAAAAGTTAATTAACTCAGTATTTTAAAAAGGGCAGAAGACTTGAAAAGACATCTTACAAAAGTAGATATACAAATGGTCAATAAGCATTTGAAAATGTTCTCACCATCGTGAGTCATCAAGAAAATACAACTTAAAACCATGATGAAATAGCACTTCACACCCACTAGCATGGTTAAAATTAAATAGACTGATAATGCCAAGTGATGGTGAGGGTGTAGAGCAACCGGAACTTGAATACGTTGCTCCTGGGTATGTAAAATATTACAATCATTTTGAGGAAATCTGATGGTTCCCTTATAAAGTTAAACATACACCTACCCTATGACCTATATATAATTCCACCCCTAAGTAATTGTGCAAGAGCAATGAAAACCTATGTCCACAGAAAGACTTCTATAAGAACTTTCACATCAACCTTATTCATATTAGCCAAACACTGGAAACAACCCAATAATTCATTAGGAGGAGAATGGATAAACACACTGTGGCCTATATGTACAATGATACTCTACTCAGCTGTAGCAAGGAATGAACTAAACATACACACAGCAGCGTGGATGAATCTTGATACAACATGTTGAACAAAAGCCAGATGTTTAAAAAAAAATTCTGTAAGATTTCATTCATATTAAATTCTAGAATAGGCAAAACTACATCTATGATGATAGAAATCAGAAATTGGTGCCTAGTTGTGGGTTGGGAAGGGGAGGGATGGATTGGAAGGGGGCACAAGCAGGTTCTCTAGAGTGATGGAAAGGCTCTATAGTTTATTTTTGGCGATGACTACATGGGTGTATAAAATTGTCAAGACTCAGAACTGAATGCTTAAAATATGTGTATTTTGTATGTAAATTATACTTCAGTTTTTAACATACAGTAACGAAAAAGGCCTAGTTCTATAAAAACTGTAAAAGCCTATGTATACTTTAAATTATGCTTTTTTTTTTTTTTTTTTTTTTTTTTTTAAGAAACAGGGTCTCTATCACCCAAGCTGGAGTGCAGTAGCATAATAATAGTGCACTACAACCTTGAACTCCTGGGCTCAAGTGATTCTCCTGCCTCAGCCTCCCAAGTTGCAAGGACAACAGGTGCATGCCACCATGCCTAGCTAATGTATTATTATTTGCTTTGGAGAGACAGGTTCTCACTGCGTTGACCAGGCTGGTCTTGAACTCCTGGCCTCAAGTGATCCTCCCGCCTTGGCCTCCCAAATCACTGGGATTATAGGCACAAGCCACTGCACCCAGGCTAAATTATCTTTTTAAATAATCTATTTTAGCCTCATCAGTCTAACCCCTTTCTTGAGTTAGAGAATGAAGTACTTTTCAAAGATGGGGCTTTAACAAAAACCTACTTTGCCTGCCAACCCAGTGGCTCCCAGATCCCCCAAGGATGCCCCACAATAAGTAATACTGGGTTTTCCTGCTGAGCTCAGCAGTTCTCTAAATTGACCTGAAAAGATGTGGGGTGTGAAGTGAGAACCTAGGGCAGTGAGAGTGATATTTTCAATTTCCCCATTTCTGCTTCAAAGAGAGAAAGTACAATTTAATCTGTTTCTATTTTGCTTGAAGAAAGGTCTTGTTGTTAGACAAAAAAAATGAAATCCTGTGACCCAGACAGCAGCCCCTTGTGAGGGGCTGCTTGGCTTTCCCATCCCAGTGTGTGTACCCCAGCATGGAATATAAGAGCACCGCTCCCACTTGCTTCAATCCATCGTCTGTCTCCCTGTGTCCCTGATGCTCCTGGAGCAGCAGTTTTTGATAACTTGGAAGGTTATGCCATGTGGGAGCTGGCATGAGACCCAGCATCATGAAAACCACTCAACTAAGGCTCTGGGATATATGCTTAGATGGCCTGGGCCATCCTGGAAATGTGTGACCTGGAGTGACACTTTCGTCTCCTGAGAAAAGAGGATGACAGTACACATGCTGTCGCCTTCAAGGGGTGTCATCGGGGTAGCATGAGATAGCAGATCTGAAAATCACTTTTAAAAACTTTTAATTTTGATTCACACAAGTGGAATTATCTAGTTCAGTACTTCTGACTTCCTAGTCTGTGGATGATTGCAGAGATTGTAAAGGAAGTGTAGGATTTAGTCTCGATTTGCAGAAAACTGAGAGTAGACCCAGTGAAGTCATGTGAGTTAAGGTGTAGAGAAATGAACAATTAGCAAGCTGCTATTAAGGCAATGTTTGCATTCATTACATGCTTTAGTATTCATTAGAATCATTAATGCCTTTCAATTGATTAAATCTGCTTGAATTCCTGGAGGTATGCTACACATTTATACTTTGTTTAGTCACTATTTTTAGGTGTCAACCTTTGTAATAGAAGGACAGAATGTTGCACAATAGAACACAGGAACCAGAGCAGGACCCTTGGGTTTGATGGACACCAGCTCTTTAACTGATTGTGTAACTTTGGGCCATTCACCAGGTTTTTCTAGCCCTCAGTTTCTGTTTTTGAAATACTACTTAATTTCTGAGGACCTCTTTAGTTATGAAAATTGTAACAGCAACAACTGTGGGATGGTAGACAAAGTCTTTGCAGTTAGTAGAAGAACTTTATCCCTCTCTGGCAGGGTAAATAACCCCATCTGTCTGTGTGAGGGTCAACTTCCTCTCCTAGAATATGGACCTGGAGATCTCCACCATGCCTGCCTCATTGAGTTATTGTGAGGATTGAACATCAAGGAGTATGCAAAAACTTTATAAGCCATAATTCATAATATGAATGTTTGCTGCTGTTCCTTTGCTGTTGCTATAGGCATTGAAACACTAGAGAGCACTCTTGGAGCCATGTATACAAGAGTGCATGGCAATGTTGCTTAAATAGTCTAAGGGTTGAAGAATTCCAAAGCAGAGACTTAACTGAGGGGTGGATTCATGAATAAGGCTTGGAATTGTGAGCCTTAACCTAACAATCTCTCGTGGACCTGGTGAGCCTGTGCTGATGACAGTGGTTCCCTCACAGGTGACAGCAGAGCTAGACGCCTGGAATGAAGACTTGCTTCGGCAGATGAATGACTTCAACACAGAGGACCTAACCCTGGCAGAACAGCGGCTGCAGCGCCACACAGAACGGAAGCTAGCCATGAACAACATGACCTTTGAGGTTATCCAGCAGGGACAGGATCTGCACCAGTACATCACGGAGGTCCAGGCATCAGGTGGGTGACCTCGCTCATTCTCCTGGCAGAGGAGATGATGAAAACAAGCATACCATCTAGCCTGCAAGGAGCAGTGCCACATCGTTTATTCATTTTATTCCTACAGATACAAAGAATAGAGATTTTTACCCACATTTTTTTTAAAAGAAAGGAAACGAGGCCAGGTGTGGTGGTTCATGCCAGTAATCCCAGCATTTTGGAAGGCTGAGGTGAGTGGATCATTTGAGGTCAGGAGTTCGAGAGCAGCCTGGCCAACATGGTGAAACCCCTTCTCTACTAAAAATACAAAAATTATCCAGGTGTGGGGGCAGATGCCTATAATCCCAGCTACTCAGGAGGCTGAGGCAGGAGAATCGCTTCAACCTGGGAGATGGAGACTGCAGTGAGCTGAGACCATGCGACTGCACTCCAGCCTGGGCAAGAGTCAGATGAAAAAAAAAAGAAAAGAAACGGAAGCCATGAGAGCTGGAATAGTGCCCAAGGTTGCCCAGTTAGGCTGTGCTGAAGTTGGGAATAGGGCCAGGGTTTCCTGGTCTGCAGACAGAGTGAGAGAATCAATGATGGCAATCAGCACAGATTCCTTTAAAAAATGGTAGCCTGGAAAAACAAACCAGAAGCAGTCAGACATTCATATGGATTGTATACACATGTGTAGTTGTTTCCTCTTCTGCTCCCGATCCCTGCTGCCAGCACGCATTCTCCAGCCCTATCCTCTACTCCTAAGCTATCTCCTTGTCTCCGGTTCCTGTTTCTCAGTCTCCTCAATTGTTAATCACTGGTCTTTGGGTGAGTATAAACAGTGATGATAAAAATTTATGACAAGATCATATAATTTTATAACTTCTCAGAAAAACACGGCTGAGTTACTCAGATTTAACTTCTTTTCCTGCTCAAGATTTATTCAAAATTTATCTAACAAATGAGTGAGCCCTTACTATTATACTTCCCACTCCCCAAGTCATCCTTTGATGTTAGAAGGAGAGAGCACCATGGTGATCTTGAGGACCGCTGGTTGAGAAGAAAAGAAGTCACATGGCTGGTCACATCTCAAGGGAGTGCTAGAGCCCAGATCTCTACCTTCCGACCCACTCCACTGCCCTCCTACCGGGGTCCTTGTTGGCTCAGGTTCCTCAGTCTCCAACACGAGGTAGACAGGAGCTAAGGCCATCAACTATAAAACGCAGTTGGGCCATGTCCCTGCTTATCCTGAAGGATATGGAAATCCTGAGATTGTCAGGGGGACCTTAGCAGTCATACTGAACTTTAAAGTACTGTGTTTCTTTCGATGACCTGAAAGAGTAAAGACCAGCATTCAAAGGGACTTCACTCCTGACCAGAGGAGAGACAGTCTAGTAAATTCTGTTCACTTTTGTCAGCATAGTCTGTCCTTGAATTTTCATCTGTGCTGTGAACAGACTGCCTCTGAGACCCAGGCCTGTTTCACAGGTGTGCAGCTGAAACCCAGGCCTATTCACAGGTATGCAGCTAGTGCTCTGTGTAGTCCCAGGAAGGGCTACTCACCTTGCAGTCTGTCTGGGGACTTTTTTTTTAAATGACAGTGCCCAGGCCCCATGCCCTGATATTCTGATTTAACTACCTCTAAATGGAACTTGGGCAACAGCAAAAAGCTCCTCGGGTGATTCAACTGTGTGGCCAGGGCCAAGAACCACTGCTTTTATTCGTGATAATTAAATCACAACATCTGACATCTCTGGAATGACCTAGGACAGTGGCTTTCAAAATGTGATCCCCATGTCAGCAGCATTAGCATCACCTGAGGATGTGTTTGAAATGCGAGTTCAAGGGCTCATACCTGAACTCATTACATCAGAATCCCATAACATACATGTTTGCTGCGGTTCCTTTGCAGTTGCTATAGGCATTGAAACAGTGCATACTCTTAAAGCCCTGTACACAAGAGTACGTGGCAATGTTGCTTCAATAGTCTAAGGGTCAAAGAATTCCAAAGCAGAGACTGATCTGAGAGGTGGATTCATGAATAAGGCAGTGTTGCTTAAATAGTCTAAGGGTGAGCAGAGTGTGGCCCAGCAATCTGTGGTTCAATTAGCCCTCCAGGTGATTTTGTGCACCACTGACCCAACATGTTGCTACTCAGTGTGGGCCCTGGGCCCAGCAGCACCAGCATCACTTGGGAGCAGATTAGGAATGCAAAATTGCTGGCCTTATCCCAGACTTGTGAATCTGAATGTAGATGTTAACAAAATCTCCAGGTAAATGGTGTGTACATTAAAATCTGGGAGTCAGTGTTCTAGGACACAGACTGTACCTTATTAGGGAAGTAGGGGAAACTGTAATCCTTTCTCTGTGATTGGGAATCTTACCTGGACTCGGGATTTAGCCCCATGGCCTGCCCTCATGGTACTTACTGTAGCTGTCTATGCAGCTACGACTGGGAACCATAAGAGAATGCACACACACCATCTAGCAGAGAGATGGACAGAGAAGCTATGCAGGGATGCTCACCCTTCATCTCTCATGGTAGATGTGTCCAGCAGGAAAAGGAGGCTTGTCTGCCTGGAAACCTGCAGCACTTACTACCGGGGTGCTGATGTGACCCTGGGCAAGCCAACGTCTGTCCCAAGAGCCAAGTATCCATAGTAACAGAAAGACAACTGGGAGTTGAAAGTCCCTGAGGACTGCTTATGACTGAGGTGGGCTGTGCTTGGTGTCCACCTAAACTATGAGGGCTGAGTGGGGTGAAAACACCCCAGGCAGATGGGCTGCCCACCCCCACAATATCCTGTTCTAGAAATGAGCTTTGTCAAAAGAGGTTTGGCCTCTTCAGTGCCTCTTACTGAGGCTGGCTGTTCTCCTGCTCCTACCACAGCTAGCTGTTTAGTCTGGCATAGCCCATGAGGCTTTTAAGAGAATGAATCCAGGGGTTTTAGGAATGCTCACTCCCTGTCTATGGCTGAATGCCTGGTTCTGCAGGGGAGGCATCTAACTTACTTCTGGGCTTAGGGAAATGGAGGGTAGATTCACAGCAGAGCTGGAGGGTGGGGATGGGGTAAGGGGTGAGCCCAGGTGGGCCTTATCCCCCAATGGCTGAGGAATGTAAGACTTCAGAGACACAGGACTGAGGCAATAAATGGCTTGGGGATTTATAGTCTTTGTTTAATGGACTGTATTTGGACTAAAGGTAAAATAAACTGTAGTCTTAGAAAAAGGACAATTAGCAATATTAAAACTTTTGTTGGTATTTAGTCCATGCTAAATAAGGGCTTATGCTTTGATTTTACAGTAGCAAATGGAACTAGGGAATTTTTATATGCTTCTTTTCAAGTGTGAAGTTTATAATATTGAGCCAGGCTCTACTAAATCCCTCTGGTGTGCCTACAACTCTAACCAAAGTAAAAGCCTTTGCTTAACTTAACATCAGGCTCAGGAATAGAGTAAACAGGAGCAATTTCTTAATTTGCTCATTGTTCTTTCCTCACAATGGAATCATCTATTTGAGCCTCAAGTTGGGAGATGGTAGGTTTTGCTGAAAGAAGTTGAGAGAAACATGCTGGCTGAATTCAAGGTCCAGTTCCACCACCAACTAGCAGTCTGATTTTGGAAGTCCCTTTTCTTTCTCTTTAGACTTTAGTTTCTTCTTCTGTCTACTGTGGCACGCCTTGATTCCTAAGGTTCCCTCCAGTTCTCACTTTCCGTAATTCAGCCTAGCTGCCCTCATCGGCCAGGCCATACTTCTTCTCTCCCATGAAATCTGACCGTGCGACTGTTACACTTGACTTTAGGAATAAGACAAGAGCAACGTACCCTATGGATATGTTGTTTTTGTGATTTACACAACGCGTTAAGTTCTCTCTTTATACAAGGTTTGTAAATGAGAAATCTCTGGAGTTTGTGGCCATGATACTTAAAATTTACCTTGCCTGAGAAGAACCCAACCCCAACGTTTAAAAATAAATAAATTCTTAAAATAAATCAAGTTTTGTGAGGATCACTCTTCTCCTTGAGCATAAAGGCTAGAATACAAAAGAGGAAATCCTGGGTTGAAATCCCGGCCACATGTCTTAGGACCTGAGTGTCCTTGTACATGTTCGCCTGTCTCTCTAAGCCTTGCCTTCCTCTGAAAAGTAGTGATCATCAGAATCCTTACCACATAGGGTCATGTGAGGATGAAGTGGGATAACATGGGAGGATGGAAAGGGTTCAGTGAAGCTTGGCAACTAGTATATTTTGTACTCCTATTCTAGCACATGCTGCATTCTGTTGAAGTTATTTGTATTCCTGTAGTTTTTCCAGCAGCATGAAGGAACAAATTCTTTCTTCCCTCTTTACATTCCCAGCATCTAGCAGAGCCAGTGTCTTGTGCCTAGCAAGTTCTCAATAGTAGTGTTTGCTGAATTAATCGAGAATGAACATCAGTGTGGGTGGAACAGATGTAGGTAAAAATAATGGAGCACAAATAATTTTACTAGTGTCAAAAAGGAAAGAAAAAAAATCTGTGGGCTTTTTATTTTTATTTTTTTTTCAAAATGAAAGCTACTCTGGGGTGAATAGGAATGTGGATCTGAGGGGCTGAGACGAAGGGAAGAAGAAACCTTGATGTAGAACAATGGTTCTTAACCTGTCGGTAGATTGAGAATCACCTGGGAACTTCTTAAAAATACCAATGTCTGGGCTCCATCCCTCAGGGAGGCTTAGTTAATTGGTCTGGAGTGGACCCAGATTTTTTTTAACTTCCCAGGTGATTTTAAGGTACAACCAGGGTTGAGAACACTGATCTAAAAACCTCATTAAAGGACTTTGTGATTTCTGAACTGAGTGTTAGGTAGAGGGAGTGACACAGACAGAGGAATGGAGAGGGGAGAAGAAAAGAAAAGAGAAAAGATGTTCTGTATCTGAGGCTGATACCAATATTTAAAGAACACAAACAGTTTTTTAAAACATGTTACAAGTATGGGCAGCATAGCCAGAAATATCTAAATCTTACTCTAGACCACAGTCACCTCTCTCCTTGAGGAAATTAAAGTGGTACCCTCATCTGGTAACAAAGGAAAGCAAACTAACGCTTATTATTGTTAGCTGTGGCTTTTAGCCCTAAAGAAACACCAGTGCAGAGCATTCTGCTGAGTGTAGCAGAAGGAATATCTCTGTTTCCTGTACTGTCTTTTCCAGTGGTTCATAATCTTGGTTGCATGTTGGAATCACACCTGGAGCTTTAAGACTTACTAATGGTCGGGTCCCAGCCGCAGAGATTCTGGTGATATTGGTCTGGGGTGTGGTTAGGACATGGTGATTTTTTTTTTTAATTCTCCAGCTGATACTTGGGAAGTTGAGGCAGGAGAATCGCTTGAACCCAGGAGGCAGAGGTTGCAGTGAGCTGAGATCGCACCACTGCACTCCAGCCTGGGCGACACAGCGAAACTCAGTCTAAAAGAAAAAAAAAAATTCTCTGCTGAGTCTGATGTGAGGCAGAGTTGAGAGAAGCAGTCTAACAGCATTAAAGCCACCATTGTTTCCAATGATATACAGTAGGCGAGTACATAAACACCTGTCAGTAAGATTTTATATTTACATTTTATACAAGCCATTCAATAGTTCCATCAGCAATCAAAAGTGTATTCATTATAATTTCTCTGAGGGAAAGGAAAAAGTGAGAAAATGAATATTTTAAGCCTACTAGATGCCAAGCACTGTATACATTGTATCTCACTTAGTTCTCACAATATCCCTGAGAAGTCCTCTTTGTGATTCCCATTTTACAGACAAGGAAATCCAGGCTCAGAGAGGGTAAGAAGCCCAGAGTCTCACCATTCATAGCATACAGAGCAAACCTAAGCCTGTTCTTCCCCCAAGCTCTCAGGTACTTTCCACCACAGCATATGACCTCAGTTCTCTGAAGAGGCTCGTTTGTTCATTGATTAGGTATTTATTGGGTGATATGAGTGAAGCATTGTGCTAGGGCCTGAAGAGGCAGAGATGGATACGACTGACATGGCTCTGGCGTCAAGAAGCCTGCATTCCTGGAACAACATAGATAAGTTAATAAGGAACCAACCTCAATGGAAGTGTTCTGATTGGAGTATGGGCACAGGAAATTGTGGGGGCACATCAGAAAGAAGTCTCAATAGAACTTTTTAAAAAAGAGCCTGACAAATGATTTCCTCACAAATACATTCCGCTACTTGATGGAAAGAGGAAAAATATCTTTTTGCATTTCTAAGAGCCCCTAAGAAAAACAGATATATCAATAGATTGAGAGCAGTAAAGTCAACACAAGCAAACTCTGCCTGCTGCCGATTGACAGATATTTACCATTTGATGGGCTTTAACTAGGACTCGTGTCAGTGTGTTTGGGGGCAGTGGGAGAGGGGGTAATTTCTATTCTTCTAGGTGTGGCTGGAATAAATCTTCATGTTCCTCCCATTTATTCCATCCACAACATGATGTGTTCCTGAGGCATGCAGAGGTGCAATAAGCACTGTCTTCATCCATTTTATTTCCTGTGTTTTTCTCACATAAAACAACATCAAATGAGATGGATGAAAATGCAGGGACTGAGTCTCAGGACATGCTGGGAGCCTGCTCTGTTTGATGTCCTAAGCAGGTGACTGTCCTCTTTGATAAGTAACATGTGGTGTGGCAGAGGTGAGCCATGAGGCTCACAAAGAAAGACATTTTGCCCAAGCCCAGCATCCTGAACACCAGAGACACATACAGAATGAATATGAGCTACAACAAATCCGCATCAAGACTGGAAGTGAGAAAGAGCGTCTGCTTCTGCAGATGGATCTTAAATTGCATTTCCAGAAAGTAAAGATAAGGGTCAGGGGTCATCCCACTATGCCAAGCATTGCAGAGGTAGAAATTTTTGTATTCTTACTTTTGATTTCAGTCAAGGAGGTGCTCTACCTCATCCCCTTGGTAATTGAAAATAGTAACTGGAAGGAGTTGGCTGCCAAAAGAACAAGCCGTTCTTTTCTCTGTCTCCCACAGATATTTCAGGAGCTAGGACTTGGAATTATGAAACAGACACAAAAAATAAACATGAAAAGATACTGAAATTATTACCATGTAACACCAGAAAAAAAAGGTGTTCCCACTTTCCCATATTGTCCTTATATAAAACACTATTTTTGCCTCCAGAGATGAATTTCCCTTAGTATGTACAGACTTTCCTTATACTTCCCCAACTATATGTTGCAGGTGTGTTGGTGGTGGCAGTGATGGATTTCTGACGGTGTGAGTTAGAGTGAGGGGGAAATCTCCCAAATGGGATTTATTTTTTAGGTAGCCATATGTTGAGATTGGCAGGCTCCTTTGGGTTTGATCCCCATGGAAGTATACTACCTTTTGGTGACTTATCTGCTGGGCTTTTAAGTCTGAACCCCATCATTGGTTAGGATCCTGTTCTTCAGCATCTCAGACAAAAGTGTCAGCATCAGGACCAAACCTGCATTGGGTCTAGATTGTTGGATGAGGAGCCAGGGAAAGGACTTGGACAGAACTAAGAAGCTGCAGAGCCAGGTGGACTCAGGGATCAGAATAAGCAAGTAGTTCAGAGTTAGGATTTTCCTAGATCTAAGGATCTGAACAAGGCCGAATAAGAAATATGTAGACAATCCAAATCAAGAAACAACATGTGTCACAACTTGCAACAAGTCGGAGACAGTTAGAAACCAAGAGGACATGAATGTGAGAAGGCAGAAAGTTGAAAGTTTAAGGTAAGAGTTAGGAGTCAGAAAAGCCACAGGACTAAGGAGCAGTGGTCTATATTTATTGTGTATCATGTACATACAGTAATATGTGTATATGAGAGATATTTTACATGCATCATCTCATTTAATCCCACAAGTTTAGGAGGTAGGTAGCTTATGAGGTAGGTAGGTATGTAAATTCATATTTTACATATGAGCAAAATGAGGCTTCTGAGAGTCTAGGTAATTTGCCCAAAGTCAGGATTCCAGCTCAGGACTGTTCCAAAGCTAGTACACTTTCGGGTAGTCTTTGAGAGCCAAGTAAGGAATCAAATTCAAGTTACTAGTGGAGAGAAGGACTTTGGTTACTAAGGCAGTTCCTTTGCTCTCTCTCCGAGTTCGTTCATTTCTGAGGCAGAAATTTATTTGATGAAGGCTACCTTGGGCCTGCTGATGATAACGTATAAATAGGAGAACTGGCATGGTGAAGAGAGGAAGTGTGTGTTTGCACCTGTGCTCATGAATTTGGAAAAGTATATAGGAAAAGTAAGACAAGGAGGTAAACAAGGAATGGGGCAACAGCTTCTGGCTGGCATATATTGACTCAAGGCTCCCATTGTAGGTCAGATGGTTGACAGTTTATTAATGTTGGGTGGTTTATACATAAACATTGGGAACACTTGTCAGTGACTGGCTGAGCTTACTAATTGTAAATCAGTAGAAAAACATTGAGCAAACTCTCCTTGAGTGGGCACAACTTTAACGTGAAGCTTTTTCTAAATGGATAAGCACTCATTATCCCTGTGGTATTGCTGGGTTGTATTTATTAGGTGTGTTTGCCTGAGTTTTATAAATAATATATGAGAGCTAGCTTATATTTCTAACAGTGCCTTTTTTTAGAGGGCCTAAGTAGTTGGCTAATAAAATCACCACTGTCCATGTGCGACACTTGCGGGGAATTTAAAAGGAATTTTTAAAAATCACTATTGTGCAGCTACTCTCATTGAAGTGAACTTACCATCTAATGATAAATTATATCTGACCAGCTAAAAAAAAAAGTGTGTCATTGGCCAAAGTACTGAGACAGTCTTTTGGTTTGGTTTTTGATTTTCCAGTATGATTTAGAGGCTTGTTTGTGAATATTCTGGGTGTTGGCAAATCCCCCAGCAGGAATTGCTGGGTGCTGTCATGTCTAGGGATGGACCTCTATATAACTGTAATTCCTGTTGATAATAAGGAACTGATCATCCGTTGACTCCTCAGGCAAAGGATCAGTTAATACAAAAGAGATGGCGTAATTTTAGCATCCCAAACAAGGGCGCATTGTGGTGCCCAGTTTCACAGAGGAATATTTAGGGTTTGGGAGGGTATGAATAATGGCTGTTTCCAAATTCCAGTTTTCTTATGCATATTGAAGGGAATGTAGCCTTCACAGTACTAGCTGGTTTTTAATTGTTTCCATTTTTTTAAAATCAGGAATTGAGTTGATCTGTGAAAAAGACATTGATCTGGCAGCCCAGGTGCAAGAGTTATTGGAATTTCTCCATGAGAAGCAGCATGAATTGGAGCTCAATGCAGAGCAGACTCATAAGCGGCTAGAGCAGTGCCTCCAATTACGTCACCTCCAGGCTGAAGTCAAACAGGTAAGCCCAGCCCTTCTTCCTTCAGCCTGGGTTTCTCAGCCAGCTGAGCCTGACCTGGGACCTGCTCCTGGTATGAGGTAAGGCATACAGAGCCACAGGTGCCCCTTTAAGTAACCAGCACTTCGAAAATAGGTAAGTTAAGGACTACTTGTATTAGTTTCTGAAAGCTTGGCTGCGGTAACAAATAGACCCAGTGATACAATGGCTCAAACAACAAATGCATGATTTCTCTCTTACAAGACAATCCATTCCAGAGTTGTCTCAGTCACTCAATCTGTTCTTTCTTTCTATCCTCAGTCCTGTCAAGCAGTCCATGGGAAATATACAAATCCTTTATCAATAAATATATTTAGGATGTAGAGTCAGGTTAATTAATTTGGGGCACTGTGTGCCTGACACAAAGTTAATATTCAGTAACTAGTAGCAATTACCATCACTATTTCCAAAGTGTGTATGATTATTATAGGAAAGTTTTCTTGCCATATTAAAGTTGATTTTAAAAAGGAAAAATAACTTATCTGCATGAAGCATTATGCTAGGCATTTTATGCTAGATCTCTAGGAACCTGTGGGAACATACACACAATGACCAATGTCACATTTTAAAAATAGTACAGGCCAGGCATGGTGGTTCATGCCTGTAGTCCCAACACTTTGGGAGGCCAAGGCAAGAGAGTCACTTGAGGCCAGCAGTTTAAGACCAACCTGGGCAACATGGTGAGACCGCACAAAAAATTCTCAATATTAGCTGAATGTGGTGGCACATGCCTGTGGTCCCAGCTAATTGGGAGGCTAAGGAAGAAGGATCACTTGAGTCCAGGAGTTTGAAGCTGCAGTGAGCTATGATCACATCACTGCACTCCAGCCTGGATGACAGTGCAAGACCCTGTTTCCAAAAAATAAAAATTACAAAAAATACATATATTAAGAACAGACTAAGTGGTAATTGTTTTAATTACCTATTTGTACAAAGGTGGGGGTGAAGAAGTAAAAGTATAATAATAGTTCCATTTTGTTGAGTGCTATGGGCCTGTTACACACATCTTCATCAATCCTCACAACCATTCTCTGAAGTAAACTTTATTCTCATTTTATAGATTAGGCCACTGAAGCTTAAGAGGTCAGCAGACCATGGTCACCCTGAGGAGAGAACACACCACCACTCTCCACAGGTCCCGGGGGGGTTCCCAGCAGGGCAGGTACCACATCACTCCTGTGGTTGCCCCTTTCTGCCCCACTCTACCCAAATCATCCTAAGCAAAAAACCATCTTTCTTTTAAACATTTTTTTTTCTTGTCTATAGCAGCTGCTGGAGCTTTTACCTTTTTTCTTCAGAAAACCATAGCTCAGCATGCTGAAACTTTTGGAATTAAGCCTACTGATTTAGTATGAGAGCCAAAAACATCTTATTTTGTTTAATTGATGCTTGATTCCTTATATTAAAGGTATTCCTTCCTCTGATGCCTCTGTCTTAGTTATTATATTGTTATTTATTATAATGAAAAAAACACTGTCTTCTCCACTCCCCATCTCTCCCAATCAGTGCTGAGCCATAGCCCACACATGCCATGCTAAAGATCTGTATTCAGCACAGATTAAATTCCTGAGCCCCAAGCAAGGCCGGGTTACAGTGCTGCCCTCCAGATTGTTTCTGCTTAATGACACTGGGATTACACCTGAGTCTCCAGAGAGACATGTTATTTATAAGGACTTGGTGGAAATCCTAGCAGGCCCAGAACAGTAACGAGTATGCAAATTCTGCAACTTAGTAGTTAAGACTGGACTTTCTTTTCATATGAGAAATCCTTTCTCATTTATAATCTCATTTTAAGAGAACATGCCCATGGGGAGAAGTGGTGTTATGCTTACTTTTCAAATGAGGAAACTAAGGTACCATGGGGTTAGTGCTCCCCAAGGCCTCTTGACTGGTCAGCTGAAACTTCAGCCTAGGCCTCCTAAATCCAAGGTCCTACAGTTTGCCTCTGCTGGCCCCCACTCTTGCCATGTGGTCCCAGGAGAAATAGAAGCCCTCCAACATTATGTGAAGTGAAATGAGCCAGGCACAGAAATACTACATGCATGTGGGAACTAAAAAGGTTGATCTCATAGAAGTGGAGTGTAGAGTAGTGGCTATAAGAGATAGAGAAGGGTAGAGGGGAGGGGAGGATAAAGAGAGGTTGGTTAATGGGGACAAAATTACAGTTAGAAGGAATATGTTCTAGTGTGGTATAATACAGTAGGGTGACTATAGTTAACAATTTATTGTATATTTCAAAATAGCTAAATGAAAGGAATTTGAATGTTTCCAACACAAATAAATGAGGTGATGGTTATCCCAGTTACAATGTGCACTACACATTGTATATCTGCATCAAAATATCACATGTATCCCATAAATATGTACAATTATGTTTATCAATTCAAAATTTAAAAATAAGAATCCTTCTAGCTGAATGGTCTGAGGTTTTCCTGACCTCAGCAGTACCATGTATGAGAGGATAGGAGCAGGCATGGCCTAAGCTTGATGGAGAGGGTGGCACCTGTCTGAGGTCAGCAGGGCTCCAGCAGGTCATCAAAGTCCTCTGCTGCACCTACTTGGTTATTTCCATCAGTGGAAGGTGGCAGGAATGACCATCTGAACAAAACATAACGGGAAAATCATTCCTATTTGACTTTGAAATGAAATATATAAATTTGCTTTTGTTCCTGGGTTTTAATTTATTTTTCTCCAGTATCAGTGGTAAATTCAACTCCCTAATTCTCTTTTCCTTCGCCGATATTAAAATAGAAATATATTTATTCTCCAACTACACATCCTATATAGGAGGAGACTGGGCTGATGATAAGTATTTTGTTAAATAGGGAAGTAGACTGTCTATATATAAATAATCCGGGGTGGACTAATATCTATATACATTCCCATTTATAATTTCATGAGTGGGAAGACAAAAAAGGAATTCTTTTGTGGGGGTGGGAAGATTCCTTATTTCTACCATGACAAAAATGACACACCGTGGGACTGTCGTTCAAGACTGTACAAAATTGCTCAAACCAGATTCTCAGGAAATCTACCAAGCCCTTTGCAAAAGGGCAGTGGCCCTCGAGGTGCCAAGGGACTGCTGCTTGGTTAAGCCACCATGCCTCATTAGACAGACTTGTTTTCCTTGTCAGTGTAGGCTCTTTCCTTAGGGAGCGCTTTGATCCAGTTTCAGAGAAGGCATTTGTGTTTGATGGAAATTGGTGGAGCGGGAAATACTGATTTGGAAGCTGTTGACTCTTGGAAAAAGGGAGTTAATTTAGATGTCGGTATTGATCAGTGATGCTAAATTTAGACAGTAGCTTGAGAGTCTCTTTTGAATATAGTCTCAAAAAAGAAAGAAAAAGGACACTTTAATTGAAATGCCATTAATGGGGGCAGAGAGGGAGAGGACAGTAATAGATTATGATACAACTATGTCATTAGAGCTCATAGATTAAAGGTTTAGATTTGATCATGGCCCATCATAACCTTAAGTTTTACCAAAATTATATTAAACTGAAGTACTGAAAAGAAAGGAAGGCACAGACGTTAGACTAAAAATTATGTTAATGGACTCAGAACAAATGAAATTGATTGATGCAACTTATTTTCTTTCTGAGGGTTTATGTAGGACTTTATATCTAAGATAGATAGCCCAAACACCCCTAGAGAAATGGTGGACCTTGAAGGGAAACCACTCCACTGATTACAGCCCATGGAGCAGATCCCTGAACCACTCAATGCCAAATTACTCTCCAAACCCGAAAGAGTGCTCTGATAGCTACCAGGAAAATTACTACTATGGTGAAGATGACCTCACATCTATTAGACAATTCAGAAAGATTTGAAAGACCTACCTAATGAGCATAAAACTAAATGAATTTCCATATGTATTCCTGCAAAGCAGTGCATTTAGCAGAAAATAAGCTAAAATGGATTTATAAAATGTTGTGTCTCTAAGCTATGAGGAAAGAAGTTATATTTATTTGATTACTAAAGACATTGGCTTAATTTGCTTCTTTGCACCAAATGCTGGCCAAAATTTGCATATAATCAAGATGGACATTTAGGACAAAGGAGAAAATATTAGCATGTCCTTATTCTCCTGTGGAGAATACTGTGTTCAGTTTTGTTGGCTGAATATAAAAGAGAGGAATTGAAGTAGATCCAAAAGAGGGGCAGCCAACAGGACAAGTACTATCCTTTTGTTTCAAAATGGAGATAATTAAGAGGACATATGGCCACGGTCTATAAAACCATGAAGGATGAACATGTGCAGTCTCATAGACCATGGATTTTTAGAAGTAAGGAACACTGGACATATGACAGGCTCCCTGCTACCATCTGAGGAGCTGATTATTTTTCCTGTGGCTAGCGTTTCAGAAACAACTATGCCTTGTGATAAATCATCTACAATAGTGGTCCTTAGAGTCAGTTGCCTTGAGTACAACCTCAAAGCTTTGCTGTAGGTATGACCTTGAGAACACAGCCATCTACAGGCGGCTTCCCAGCCTACATGGTTACAAGGCTCAGCCTGCCCAGCTTAAATGGCATCACCATTTGTGGATATCCACATCCACTTAATCAAATCCATTCTCCTGACTTGGGCTTAGCTGAGCTTTCCTGACATGAAGAAGCAATAAAGATCTTCATGTCCAGTTCCCCCTCAAGCTCAGACTGAGCTGAACTTTTGGCCTAGCTCTTAAGTCCCCAAGTAGTGATATTCTTTCAGTCCTTCATTTCTACTAACTGATTTTCTTGGATACCCTATAGATGTAGGGGCACTCTTTGAGTTTTGAAAGTAGTGTGGAATGTTAGAACTGGAAATTATCTTTAAAGATCATCTAACCTATTAGGTAAATTGTTGCCTAGAATGATTGATCAATGTTAATATTCATTTTACAGTTTGAAAAATGCTTTTACATTAATTATTTTATTTTCTCTTTACCCCATCCCTTATGCAAGGAAAGTGTTCACATTTTACAGATGAGAAAACTGAGCCTTAGGGAGCTTAAATGATGTTTGCAATGTCACACAGCTCAAAATTAGTAGAACCAACATTTTCTCATTTTAATTATGATGTTTCTTAACTTGCACATATTTGTATGCTCACAGAAGAATAACTAGCCAGTTTTATGAACCTGGAAGATTAAAAATACCAGTAATAGAAAATTATACCAACAAGGGTTATCAGTGATCAGAGTAAAAGGATAATGATGACAAAACAGCTAAGGAAGCTACATCACATCAGAATATGCCAGTAAGCTCATACAGATTCTGGAATAAAGCTGTCTTCTCATTAAGAGAGGTATAAATAATCACATCATTATCCAGCTTTTCTCTAAACTAAAAATCACCACCAGTACCATCATAATCATCAGACTTTACATTTTACACATTGTTGCATCAACCCTGCAATGCAGAAAGGGAAGGTACAATTATCCTTATTTTACAGATGAGAAAACTGAGACTCAGAGGGGTTAAGTGATTTTGCCAGGTAAGTAAAAAAGCCAGATTTCTGACTCCAAATTTTATGTTATTTCTCTACTATGCCAGTTCTATGTCCAGGACTGACTCATTCCTAGGGTTCAGCCCCACCCTGGAGCTAAGCCATAGATATAAACTACCATGCATTTTTAGCTTCCTAAAATCAAATCTCCCACTTTAAAGTCCTGGAATACCTTTTTAAACAGCATTTAGTAAATAAAAATGAATAAGGAAATGATGTTATATAATTTAAAAAGTAGGTACTGAAACCCATGATGTTTCTAAATGGGAAGCTTGTAAGTAGGGATCCCACCACCATAGCTATAACTCATGCTTCCTGTTGGCTGAAACTGGAGAGAAAAATTTTCTAACAAAACTGAAGAGACCCAAAGGGAGTCAAATTGTCCTACAGACATTGATGTGTGATGCACTTGGAGAAGTGGTTTCTCTGACACCCTCAAATGAATCTTCAGACCAAACAAAATGCAGTGAATCATGGCAGAGGGACACTGTGAGCTCCATTTCCCAAAGAGATGAGGCATTTGGGCATGCAGTCTGTGAATGCAAGTGCCCAAAGTTACAGGCAATTTTTCAAAATCATTAGCACCTCTAGCCAACCAGCCACAGTCCACCAGTGACAACAGGGATTTCACGCAAACACTCTGAGCAGTTATTTCCTGTAACTAATTGCTTTACAGATTGGCATCTCATCTACAATCTGCTAGCTTGGCCATGAATTAACATCTCAATCCAAGTAGCCTAGCTTCAGTGGGATTTATGACCTGATGTTATCTATGCACAATAAGGCATGAGTCATTTTTTGCCCAAGGATGAAATTTGAGAGGTGCCTATGAGTTCTAGAGCACGAGACTGGGCTTGGTATTTTCTAATTGTTCAATGTGAGGAAGTAGAGGGGAGAAAAATATGAAAGCAAATCTGAAACAGATAGTGGTGTCTTCTCCTTTGGCATGAGGTGACAGATGGGTGGTATTTACTGATCTTGAATTTTCAGAATAGCTTTTATTTCTTCTCCAAGAAAACTCTCAGACTCCCTAATAAAGAAAGTGTTTGGCAATGTTCTGGTGACCAGACACCAGGTAGGTTTTCAGAGCCTAACTCTTCCAGTTGCATTATTTGCTCTGACTTTATTAGCTGGATAATTGCCACATCCCCATTTCACCTAGAACTGTCTAGACAGTGTCAGCTGTTTCTTCTTCTATCCTAATATTCCCTCGTTGAGTTTTCTTTCTCCCAGTGATTGTTAACATCACATAGAAGTTGTATTCAGCCTACCCATGGCCTCTAAATAATTTAAGTCAATTATATTATAGCTTACTCCCCTTTTCCTGATGATCCAGAATATGGGTTATTACTTCTATTTTGCTTGTTTTCTTTCTCTTTTCTCCTTTTTTGGGGTTGTTTACCTACTGAAGTTCAAACCTGCCTACTCTTGGTTATTTTGCAAGGTAGAGGAAATTAGACTCACTGCTCAGGTGTGACCTGGGTATTCTCGATTACTTCAAAAACTACACCACACCCATTATATGCAAAGTACTGTGATAGGTACTATGTGAGACTAAAATACAGCTAATATATTGCCCCAGATTTCAGGAAGTTTATGTTCTCAGTGGGGAATGAAACATAGGTTGAAATAAAGAAACCAGGAAGTCTGTGGTGAATACCATAACGGTGGTACATACAAAATGATATGCTTGCACTAGATGAAGAAGAGATTGTTTCTAGCAGGAGAGATTAGGTGCAAAAGATTTCCATAAGTTGTTGTTATTTGAACTGGACCTTATAAAAAAAGAAAAGGATACCAACAGATGGAATTTATTTATTTATACCATCCTATGTTCCAGAAGGAAGTTTAGACATGCATACAGTACAACCACATTAAGTAATGTTTACACTATGTGGGTGAGGAAATTGGGACAGAGGGGTGACATGGAGCTGGGAATAAAGCAGGTACATAAAATAAGTACCTTATGGCACAGGTACTCTGTATGATTGGGGAGATGACCATTTTGATTATGGTGACATTTGCTGTCCTCTCTCCAACAGAAGATAAAAGATAGTGAGCTCTCCAACTGAAGTCCCCATGAGAGGAGGCAACAGCTCTGGGGAAACTGCGGAAGGCCATTCACCTGTGTGCTTGTCCCGATTCCCTAGGTTCTGGGATGGATCCGCAATGGAGAGTCAATGCTCAACGCCAGCCTGGTCAATGCCAGCTCTTTGTCGGAAGCAGAGCAGCTGCAGCGGGAGCACGAGCAGTTCCAACTGGCCATCGAGGTAACACCCAAATCTGGCTGCACTGTCCTCCCTTCGCCTTTCTGCTCTGTACCTCAGGCAGGGTGATTCTCAGGTGTGGGTGTTCCTTCAGGCAGCGAAGGCTGTACCCCTTCTAGTAGAATGGTCCAGGGAGCCTTCCTCTTACCCAAGAGTTGATAGGGAAGCAAATGCAAGGGTTCATCCCCCAGGGAGGCCTGGTATTAGAAAACAAGTATTCACACTTCATATGAGAATCTTTGTTACCTATCAGTACCTTCAACCTTTAAGGCCACTGGTACATTGGTTTTTTTATACATTCTAAATATGTACCATGTGAGGAAATGTAAAACTAAAAGTTTAGAAGTCACTTCTGGTGCAAATCACTCAGGTTTGAGGATAAACAAGTGCAAAGGTCATTATAAATTAGGATCCTATTTTTAACCATTTGGTTTACATGTAACCCTTAGATACTATTGTCAGAGTCTGCCTTTTAACAAGGATAATGAGCATTGGAGCAGATTGCACCAGATATTTTTACCCCGCTGAAAGCAGTTGTTCAATAATGCTGGTAGAACAGTATTTAAAGAATAAACTGCAACCAGAAGAAGCTTATCAACAGGGGCTTTTTAGAAGGCTATTTAAAAATAAAACTTCATTTATGATAATCTAATATAAATTTTGTCTTGCTTTAAGTACCCTTAATTATCCTTTTTAACTAGGACATTGTCCTTCCCAGAGAGACTTGAACTGATTGCTTTAGAGTGGTGTAGGAAAAAGAGTAGGAAATGGGACGTGGGAACTATATTAAAAATAAAATAAGTTAATTACCAATGGGAAAAGAGACAGAATGAAAACTTCAAAGACATTCATTACTTATGGTTCAGTATAGAATTCAACCCACTTCTGAGCGTGTAAGAAATGCAAAGATGTTATCTTTTACTAAAAAAAAAATTGTTAATGAGTCATTTCTACAACAATCATGGCAAAATAATAAAATTTTAATTGCCTGTGTCTTTTTATGCAGTAATCCAACTGATTGCTAGACATTTTTAAGCTAGTGTTGATTGATTGCAACCATTTAATTTCCCGGAAACCATCTTGGATGTATAAACAGTGTTAAGATGCATGATATTTTCTTAGGAACCATTACTAGTACTAGAAGAACTGTCTGGGATTTGAGATTTAAAAACAAACTTCATATTGCACACACAGCATCAGCAAATCATTTTCTAAGGCGGAATTAACCAAAGGAAATGAGTTTTATTATCATCAGCTGTCTCTATTGTAGCTTTCTGACACACTGAAATATCACAGTGTTAGCATGTATTCACTATAAAGAAAAAATCAGGATTGGGGTTATAATCAAGAATCAGGGCCAGACATGGTGGTTCACATGTGTAATCCCAGCAATTTGGGAGGCCAAGATGGGCAGACCTCTTGAGATCAGGAGTTCAAGACCAGCCTGGCCAAATGGTGAAACCCCATCTCTACTGAAAATACAAAAAAAAAAGTAGCCAGGCATGGTGGTGGGTACTTGTAATCCCAGCTACTCGGGAGGCTGAGGCAGGATAATTGCTTGAACCCAGGAGGTGGAAGTCGCAGTGAGCTGAGATTGCGCCACTGCACTCCAGCCTGGGTAATAGAGTGAGACCCTGTCTCAAAAACAAAAAAAGAATTGGGCACATAGCAGTCAAGTTCCCACAGTCATAAGCAGCAACGAAGAAAATGAAGGCTGAGCGATCAGATTAGAGGTATAGCACAGTTATGAGGCATGCTGGGCAGAATGAAGACAGCTCTTGGCCATACCTCCTCTTTATCTTCAATGAAAAGGTTTGCCTCAATCAAATGGTGGCCAAGTAAGACCAAGTGTCATAACACACTTAAGCATCTCAATGAGCTTTTGAGGAAGCATGGGTAAATGTATTCACAGTGCTTGAAATGACTATATTCCACATGACTGCATATGCAATATGTATTCATTTGTGTTAGACACCATTTCATCTTTACAGAATAGAGGCTCACTAAGCATAAACACCTCTTAATCAGTTCTGGGTTTCTATCTGGATACAACTTGATCAAATATTCTTGGAATTGATGTTGAGATATAGGCCACTTAGTCTCGAGAGGGCATGGCAGAGCAGTTAGGATTTCTAGAAGATATTGGGAATGAAAGGTAGGCAGAGTCTGCATTGCCTAGAACAATGAAGGGAACGGAACCAGAATTGCAACATATGCTCCTTCTCCAGGTGGCCTGTGCTTCTCCTTAAATGTTTCAGTTCAGACTAGGTTCTCCATCAGAAGGAAAATATGCCAGGGAAGATAAGCTATTTCAAAGGGAGTGAAAGCAGTTGGGTTTGGCTTAACCCATTTTGACAGTGTTACTAGAGGCCTTTACAATGATTGTTGGTGGGGAGCATAATTTGACTTCTTTCTTGAACCCTAAGAAAGGACCCTGGGTTCCATCAGGGAAAATAAAAAAGTTAATAAAAAATAAAAAGTAAAAAAGTAAATAAAAAGTTAATAAATAAAAAGGATTAAAAAAAAAAGAACTTCTGGTCAGATGTGGTGGTTCTTGCCTGTAATCCCAGCACTTTGGGAGGCTGAGGCAGAGGATCATTTGAGGCCAGGAGTTTGAGACCAGCCTGGGCAGACAGCAAGATCCCATTTCTACAAAAAGTGAAAAATTAGCCAAGTGTGATGGCACACACCTGTAGTCCCAGCTATCCATCTACTTTGGAGACTGAGGCAAGAGGATTGCTTGAGCCCAGTTCAAGGCTGCAGCAAGCCATGATTGCACCATTGCACTGCACTTCAGCCTCGGTGATAGATCAAGACCCTGTCTAAAAAAAAAAAAAAAAAAAAGGAAAGAAAATAGACCTTCTACATATATATGTATCTCCTCAAGGGATATGTAAATAACATGGGGATTATGTATTGAAGTGAATTATCTCCTGCACTGTTATGCCCCCCAGTGAAGTAATTAAGGGATGATGTAGGAGGTTACTCTCTAGCTTTATTAACCTGCCAAATTTATTCCTTCAACTGGAATCTTTTTCAACTGATTATTAATGTTTTAAATGATTGCATTGTTAGCTGAGATTTGTGTTACATGAAGTTTCTTTTCATGTGCTGTCTATACTTGATCTGTAAAATGGGACTGCAGTAGTAACCTCCTTCGAAAACTCAATGTACAATTTTATTATTCTATTTGTAAAGGAAATTTATGAACCAATTAGTGAGCAGATTGATACATAACTTCTGTTTCTCTGCTACAGAAACTGAAATGTCCTTAAAATCTAGAGTGCTGCAAGGAAAAAGAAAGAAGTGGGGACAGGAGTTAGGGTCGTGAGAGATTAGCTAATAAAAATGTATGATATTCTTTTTTTAAATATGCTTTAAAAATAATAATGTATTAATGGTCATGACAAAATGGATCAGTCATTTAAAGCTCTTTAACTTCTCTGCATCTTTTCACTCACGCCTCACTCCACCCCCTCCCATACCACGCCTGGGTTGTTCCCACGGACCTTTCTCTCCTCTCCTTGTGCCCAGTCCCTCTTTCATGCCACTTCCTTGCAGAAGACGCACCAGAGTGCCCTGCAGGTACAGCAGAAAGCCGAGGTGCTGCTCCAGGCCGGCCACTACGATGCCGATGCCATCCGGGAATGTGCTGAGAAGGTGGCCCTCCACTGGCAGCAGCTCATGCTGAAGATGGAAGACCGGCTAAAATTGGTCAATGCCTCTGTGGCCTTTTACAAAACTTCTGAACAGGTGAGGGAAAAGACTGTGGGGCTTGTGGGGCTGAGATTGCCAGGGGGCCATTTTCTGCCTTGCAGTGTAAATGTGCAGTGCTTATGTCAGCGAGAAGCCTGTCCTTTCAGTACTAACATTTGAAGAATAGTTTGTGGAAACACCACAGTTGACTTTCTTATCATCCTTTCCATTTGAGCACTGGACTATGGGGTTTGTCTCATAAATTTCTGAAACTCACCAGATCTATAGGGAGGTGTTGAAATAGAAATTGGGTGTATACTAAATGCTAGATTTGGGCAGTATATTAGTCAGCTGTTACCACCATAGTGCTGTGTAACAAAACAATCCAAAACTCAGTGACATAAAACAATAAACATTTATTTTTTTCTTAAGTGTCTTAGGTTCAGTTGATTTTGGCTGAACTTGGTAGAACTAGGCTTCGAGCTGCAGACTGGGTCTAGATCTGTTCCCATGTCTCTTGTCCTCCTTGACCTGAAGCCATCTCAGGCACATTTATAGTTAAAGGCAGGAATGCAAGAGTCCAAAATCTACCATACAAGTGCATTTCAAGTCTTTGCTTGTGTCATATTCTCTTTCATCTCATTGGCTAAAATAAGTCACATGGCCAAGCCAACATTAGTGAGGCAGCAATGCCTCCTATGAAGGTTGGGAGAGGAGAATGAATAGTTGCTGAACAATAATTAAATCTACCACAGTTAGGCATTATGCACTACTTGAAAAACACATGGTTCTTTCATTCCTTGGGCCCCCAGTCTAATGGAGGAAACACAGCTCTCTGTCATTAGGGAACTAGAAACACACCAGATAAGATGATGCTGCTGTGGGAGAAAAGGCAGGAGCTGGACAGTAGGGCCATAACGATGCAGTGTGTTACCCTTTCATCTGTACAGCAATATGCACAGGGCTAAGAGGATTTTTAAAATGATTTGGGTGCTGTTAGGGAATTCTTTTTATGAAACAGGTTTAAAACAGGAGTAATTTTACTCAGTGTATAGTAGTTTCCTTCTCTGAATTGTTCCCTGGTAGAAATAAATCAGAGAATCATTCTCCTTGGATGACTTACAGGGACCATCGGAAAGTCTTCCTTGGAGCAAATATGACATGCGCATCAGAGGGCCCTGCAGCCAGGGTGAGAGTCTCCACCCCTTCTTTCAGTCCTTTCTGTTGCTTCAGAGGAATGACTCCTTTGATGGCCACAGAAGTGAGGAGCTGCAGACTAAGATGATAGAGAGCTTCCCCAGTTGATCCCTAGATTCAACACAGTCTCAATCAAATCCCAGCAAGCTTTTTTTTTGTAGAAATTAATACATTGATTCTAAGATCTATATGGAAATAAAATGCAAATGCAAAGAATACAAATGCAAAGAAACTAGAAGAGCCAAAACGATTTTGAAAAGGAAGAACAAACTTGGACAAGTCACACTGCCTGATTTAAGGACTTATTCTAAAGCAGCAGGGATCAAGACAGAATCGTATCTGGTATAAGAATAAACACAATGAGACAGAATAGTGGTTATAGAAATAGATCCACATATATACAGTCAGTTGATTTTTGACAAAAAAATTCAATGAGTGAAGGAAAGTCTTTTCAGCAAAGGATGCTGGACAACTGAATATCCATATGGAAACAAATGAGGCTTAATTCCTGTCTAATATTATACACAAATGTTAATTTGAGATGGATCAAGATGGTGAAGGACACTGGAGTAAGAGTCAAGAAATTTTACCCTGAAGTGACCTTGCCGAAGGTTACTTTACCCCTCTGGATTTCTGTTTCCTGTCTTGTTAAAGTATTTCTCATTTCTTCTAATCCCAAATTGTTTGCTTCTAAGTTCAGTCCTATCATGGGACAGATCTCAAGTACTCTTTTTCTTAAAGTTTTTACATGTCTTTAAGCTGTTTTATCTCAAAACATGAGCTGCCTGCACGTTTCAGGCCTTGCAGAAAGAAAGGTGTGATGCTAGAGATGGGACTAGAGAAGTCACCTCAAGTTTGATGACAGATCTTCTCATGTGATGCTAGAGATGGGACTGGAGAAGTCACCTCAAGTTTGGTGACAGATCTTCTCATGTGATGCTAGAGATGGGACTGGAGAAGTCACCTCAAGTTTGATGACAGATCTTCTCATGTGATGCTAGAGATGGGACTGGAGAAGTCACCTCAAGTTTGATGACAGATCTTCTCATGTGATGCTAGAGATGGGACTGGAGAAGTCACCTCAAGTTTGGTGACAGATCTTCTCATGTGATGCTAGAGATGGGACTGGAGAAGTCACCTCAAGTTTGGTGACAGATCTTCTCATGTGATGCTAGAGATGGGACTGGAGAAGTCACCTCAAGTTTGGTGACAGATCTTCTCATGTGATGCTAGAGATGGGACTAGGGAAGTCACCTCAAGTTTGGTGACAGATCTTCTCATGTGATGCTAGAGATGGGACTAGGGAAGTCACCTCAAGTTTGGTGACAGATCTTCTCATGTGATGCTAGAGATGGGACTGGAGAAGTCACCTCAAGTTTGGTGACAGATCTTCTCATGTGATGCTAGAGATGGGACTAGAGAAGTCACCTCAAGATTGGTGACAGATCTTCTCATGTGATGCTAGAGATGGGACTAGGGAAGTCACCTCAAGATTGGTGACAGATCTTCTCATGTGATGCTAGAGATGGGACTAGAGAAGTCACCTCAAGATTGGTGACAGATCTTCTCATGTGATGCTAGAGATGGGACTAGAGAAGTCACCTCAAGTTTGGTGACAGATCTTCTCATGACATGAGAAGCATGTCTGGCTATGAGAGCGTTCTTCCTGGGACAGCTTTCAGCACATCTTTCAGTTCAGTTCATAACTCAATGAATGCCCTATCCAAAGACATCTTTCATCTGGCTGGGCACGGAGGCTCACGCCTATAATCCCAGCACTTTGGGAGGCCAAGGCAGGTGGATCACTTGAGGTCAGGGGTTCAAAACCAGCCTGACAAACATGGTGAAACCCTGTCTCTACTAAAAATACAAAAATTAGCTGGATGTGGTGGTGAGCGACTGTAATCCCAGCTACTCAGGAGCCTGAGGCAGGAGAATCCCTTGAACCTGGGAGGCAGAGGTTGCATTGAGCCAAGATTGCACCACTGCACTCCAGCCTGGGTGAAAAAGCTAGATTCCGTCTCAAAAAAAAAAAAAAAAAAAAAAAAAAGACGTTTTTCATCAAAAGACTTTCTCAGAGAAGGCCAAAGATAGTCATAGCAGTTCTTCCCTACTGCCGTATCCAAACAAGTAATCAAAGTCTATTGAAGGAAATCCAATCATTCCCAAAGTCTACTGAAGGAAATCCAGTATCCATGGGGTATTTGTTCCAGGACCCCTCACAGATATGTACATTCTCCCATGTAATTTAAATCATCTCTGGATTACTTATAATACCTAAGTATTATAGTAAATAGTTGTTATATGCTATTGTTTTTATTTGTATTATTTTTTATTGCTATACTTTTTAACTAAGTATTTTCAATCCATAGTTGGTTGAATCATGGATGTAGAACCCACAGATTTGGAAGGATGGCTGTATAGGTATATGAGTTTCAATTTTCTGCATCCTCCTCCAGGCCCTGATACTAGGCTGCCTTGGTTTTTCCACTATGGGACCCAGGCTGAATTTCCCTCCAAACTCCCTTCAAAATGCTTTTGCTCTCTTCTGAGTTCATTTATAAGGTCACTTAGCATGACCTCTCAGCATCTTTAGAACTAAAAAGCTTCTTAACTGTCTTTCAGGTTAACCCAAATTTGTTACCCCTCTACAGGAAATGTGTATTTTGTAATAGAGGTTCTGGAGATGTCATGTCCTATGGTGGGATTTTTGAGACATTTTTCCCCAGGGGAGGAAAAAGATGACATTCATTTATGGCCTGTAAACCATACAACATAGGCAACTTCCTCCTTTGTCTCTGCTTGAGGCTCCTTACTATGGGACAAGTACAGATGGTCGGATAAGTCAAGTATCTTCTCCAAACCTCATTTCCTGTTCTACCTAATTTATAGTTATTGTGAGATTATAACAATATAATGTGTAAAAACACTGAAACTCCAAAGATACTAGACTGTCTTACTTTCTTACTTTACCTACTATTCCTAGGTAATGTCATCAACTCCCATAAAAAGATGATTCCAAAATCTGTATCTCCAGTCATCATGTCTCCCAGGTTTCAGACACAGGACTGTCACTGCCTCCTGGATTTCTCTTAGATGTCTCAGAGGCATTAAACTTCTAATGAAAAATGTCATATGTGTAGGCTTCTATAGGCTGAAGGTCCTCAGAGAATAATTCCTGAATAATTAATTTACTGAGTCTTTTCTTCCATGATTCACTAGGTGTGTAGTGTCCTGGAGAGCTTAGAGCAAGAATACCGGAGAGATGAGGACTGGTGTGGTGGACGAGATAAGCTGGGGCCAGCAGCAGAGATCGACCATGTCATTCCCCTCATCAGCAAACATTTGGAACAAAAGGAGGCCTTTCTTAAGGTCAGAGCACATTGTCATGCAAGGGCTCAGACTCCTGGCCTTGGCCGCCTTGTTCTTTCATCCTCTTTCTCTTTCTCTTTTCTTTCTTTCTCTTTCTCTCTCTTTCTCTTTCTCTCTCTTTCTCTTTCTCCTCCTCCTCCTTCTTCTCCTTCTCTCTCTCTCTCACACACACACACACACACACACACACACACACACACGCAGCTTCAAACATGCTTCCCAGCCCCTCTTTTTTTCTAACCTCTTCCCTAAAGGGGTAAGGGAATGTAATGAAGATGTTGACTGGTTAATTTCAAAGGGTGAAAGGTTACATTTCCAACATTTATTTCTCTCTTGCACTTTTTGTATAGTTAGGCGATCAGGATACACTGTTACTACTACTGCAATCTTCAGATATCCCAGTATCCCGTGGATGTTGTTAACTGAGAAAAAGACATGCTTTCATTCAGTTGTGTTTGGCTAATTAAATTATTTTTTGATAGTAATATCAAAAACATATAAGCTTAGATATAAAACATGATTAAAATATTTTATAAATGGAAGATGCAAAAATTAGGGTAAGAATTAAAGAAATGAATTTGGATGCCCTATTTATTTATCAATCTAGCAATTACCAATTACCAACACACATGACACTGTTCATTCTTCTGTATTAAGAGAGAAATGCCTTATTCCTAATATTCTGCTAGAGCCCTGCCTTCTGAGGGAGGAAGCACAGGCCTGCTCTGCACAGACTGTCAGCTGGTGTGGGAAGTCCTTGTGAGCCTCCTTCCCCAGCCTTTGATCTTCTCCTCTGATCGCCTCTCTTCTGTGTTCAAGCTCATCTAAAGGCTGCATTTGCTCTCAGATTTCTTGCTTTCATGTTCTGCTTCCTCTCAGGTTTCTGGGAATAGAAGAGACAATTTTTATACCCTGACATGTTGCCATTGATTTTATTCAATTCTGTAATTAACTGCCTTTCTTTTATTAGGGATTTTCTCTACTTGACTACCACCTTGAGCTTAATTTTTATTTTTTTTAAGCTGGCCTCTCCCTGCCCTCCTCCTATCTATCTGGTATCCGCACCTATATGGGTCAGAACCTCTAGTAATCAGCTCTTACTAGTAAGACTAAATAGAAATTCTTCTGTGCAGAGCTTATGATGATTTTTTAAAGTTTTCCCTATTACAAAGCAAATTTTAAAATGGAACAATTTAAGTAGAGCATATAAAAATCTCAAACAGAAGTGTAAATATATTTCTTCATAAAATTAAAAGAAAATGTTTCTATTGAAGAAAGAAATAGAAAACCCTCTGGTCTGATGTTTTCCATATGTCCCTGAAACCATAGTGAGAAGCTCCCTGTCACTGTGGGAATGATATGCCCAGTAAATAGAATATTGAGCTCTTTATTTATATTCATTAGTTGATCCACTTGAAACTCCTTAAGCTGAGACCACCATCAAGCTGTTTTATTCAGGAGCCTCTGTGTTCATGGACACACCAGCAGGCGTTTGTGTACCAGATATTCCAGATGCCTTTGTTGCTAATTTTTTTATATAACCAGAAAATTATAAAATTTTATAATTGTTTCTATTAATTATATAATAATTTTTAATTATATTATTTGTAGGATCAGAGGGAAAGTATAAGATTCTAAAATTTTACATTTCAGGGTGTGTAGAAGAAAAAAATTTCAAAGAAAAATGAAATAAAATTTCAGTTTATCTAGAGATAATTTAATTCTGAAAACTATGGATTAAAAATTAGTATGCTAGTATTTATTACTTTACAACCAGAAAAAAAACCTGCTTTGTAGAGAAATACAGAAAGTACTAGGCTTGAGAGGAACAAGAAATACTGTCAGTCATCCTAGATCCTAGATCTGTGTTGCTTCCTGGCTCCTGCCCTTTCTGGGCACCAGTCTTGTCCATCAGCACAGCAAGGAGAATGTGATCAGCCCTCTCTCTGCCACCCACAGCTAATATGAGTCGTAAAGGGGGTAGGTAATATAACAGCTGTTAGTCCTTTATGTAGACTGGCATTCTTCAACAATAGAATGCTTATTAGTGATATTTAGATGAGGGGGACTTCATGGGCAAATAAGTCTGAAAAATGTTTGTAATTTCCATTTAGATTTGGAATGTAGGGTTAATAGATGTGTTTACCAAATTTACTTGCTCAAGTCTAAGTCACACTGATTTTCAAGTGGGTTTATGTTTCCTGAGCTTACACCAGTGGTCACGTAAGAGGCATTCTGGTGGCTGAGGAAAAGTAGGCTGAGAGTGAATGTTAGTAATGCCTGATCAACATAGAAGGAGACGAGAGGTGGCTCATTTCTGATTTTTATCTGAGATGGAATGGGCAGAGACACAAGGAGTAATTCTTCACTTGAAAAAAGGAAAGCTCAGAAGGGTGAGCTCCATAAATTGGAATTGGAGTCTCCATGAACCAGTGGTGACTTCCAGAGCTCTGCTCCTTCTAGATTCCTTCAGAGTTCTTGAGCCTCCTAAAAAGTATAAGGAGGAGCCAGGTGCCATGGCTCATGCCTGTAATCCTAGCACTTTGGGAGGCCAAGGTGGGCAGATTGCTTGAGCCCAGTAGTTTGAGACCAGCCTGGGCAACATAGTGAGACCTCATGTTTACAAAAAATGCACAAAGTTACCTAGGTGTGGCGGTGGGCACCTGTAGTCCCAGCTACTCAGGAGGCTGAGATGGAAGGACTGCTTGAGCCTGGGAGGTGGAGACTGCGGTGAGCTATGATCATGCCACTGCACTGCAGCCTAGGCAACAGAGTGAGACTCTGTCTCAAAAAAGAAAAAAAAAAAAAGCAAAAGAAAATATGGAAGGAAGGAGGGTATGCCTTCTCCATTGTCTTGGATTCCATACACCTGCTGGGACAGGGGCCTCACAGCTTTGTCTTTCGCAGGCCTGCACCCTGGCTCGGCGGAATGCTGAGGTGTTTCTCAAGTACATCCACAGGAACAACGTCAGCATGCCCAGTGTCGCCAGCCACACTCGGGGACCCGAGCAACAAGTGAAAGGTCAGTGAGAGACCTGCCCAGCCACCAGTCACTTCAGCGACAGCCCCTCCCTGAAATATACCATGTACCCAGTTTTCACACAATCTCAAATTTCCTGCTGCTTCTCCTTAGAAATGAAAATGTATGATGTGGGATGGTGTGGGCAGTAATGATTCATGGTCAATTTTTAAACACGCATCAAGATCTGGAAGGCAAAAACAAGGATAAAATTTCCCCAAGTATTTTCATTTATCTTAGAGTCTGGACAGCACTGCCTAGTGGAATTTTCTGAAATAATGGAAATTGCCTGTATCTACGCTGTGCAATACAGCAGCTACTGAGCTAGTGCAACTAAGGAACTAAATTTTAACTTGTATTTAATATTAACTAATTTAAATGTAAATTACTGATTTTGATTCCTGGTTAATATATTGAACAGCACAAGACTAGGGTGTCTTATAGCCTAGGAACAGAATGTGGACTGAGAATCCTAAAACCAAATGCTGACCCTGGATTTGTCACTGATTGATTAAGCCTTTTAAAACTTTAGTTTCTTATTTAAAATGAGGGGAGCATCTAGACTCTTGCTCCTCAAATTGTAGTTCCCAGACCAGCCACAATGACATCCCTAGGAGAGTGTATGAAATATAGAATCTCAGGCCACACCCAAACCGACTGAGTCAGAAACTGCATTTTGGCACTTTGGGAGGCTGAGATGGGAGGGTTGCTTGAGGCCAGGAGTTCAAGACCAGCCTGGGCAACATATTGAGACCCCATCTCTACAAAAAATTAAAAAATTAGCCTGGTATGGTGGCGTGCCTATAGCTCTAGTTATTCAGGAGGCCGAGATGGAAGGCTCATTTGAGCCCAAGAGCTGGAGGCTGCAGTGAGCCATGTTTGCACCATTGTACTCCAGCCTGGGCAATAGAGTGAGACGCTGTCTCAAAAAAAGAAAAAAGAAAAGAAAAAAAAGAAAAAAAGAACAAAGAACCTGCATTTTGGCAAAACTGCCCAATTCTACCAACCAGGTAATTTGTGTGTTCATAAAATTTAGATAAGTGCTATTCTACATAATCTTTAATATCTCCGAATTCTAGAAAGTCTATGATAATAAATATATAACTTTTAAAAATTGCCTATTATCTGACCATGTGAAACTTAAATCATTATCTGTGGAATTATTCTGACCATGCAGAAATTAGCCTTTGAGTGAGTGAAGAGTTTAACAAATGTCATCTTGCCAAGGCAGAGAAATATAACTCTGGAGTCCGAGGCTAGGAATGGAACCCAAGCCGACTTGGAGTGAGGAGTGGGGTATGGGCTTGGAGACACCATGGACAGGGTAGGGTGCGTGGTCTGCTTAAGAAGAGCTTCCCTCTTTGCTCAGATAGCTCAAGAGTTGGAGAGAACAGAGACCACTGGAAAGAATGGAATCAAAGTTCCCTACAGAGAGGAGGGAGCAGAGTTTCTCTTCCAAATGTGCTATTCTATTTGTGGTCAGGGGACCTGTGGGGAGCTGGTATTATGTCACTTCTTCCAGCACATTTGAAAGCATATGTTCTGGCTTCCAAATGTAGATGGGAGCTTGGGTGAGGCCAGCTGCCTACTGAGAGACCACATATCCCACCTACACCTCTGCGTGCTGAAGAATAACAGGCACCCAGAGACAGTGGGAAATGCCTACATCTTCTTGGAGGCAAGACCAAGTTGTTGCCCATGTAAAAGCTTTCAGGAAGAGGGGGGAAAATAATCCTGAAACTCTTTATGATTTCTGCCAGATCTGGGTTGATTCCCTCAGTCACACCATAGAGGGAGGGAGCTTCAATGAGCAAAACTCTGGCTAGGGAACATAAAGACTAAAAGAAATGGGTTTCTACTCCTTCCTTGCCCAATTGAAGCTTCCACCTGAGCAGGGACCTACAATCCCTTATATATCAGTTTCCTTTTCACCTACTACCTAGACTCAAAGCCAGTGCCATATATTTTTGGCTTTTTTATGCTGCTGGTTGTTATATGGCTGCATAACAACCAAGAAATTCAATGATATCCAACTGTAAACATATGTTGTTGAAGTGGCTGTGCATTGGCTGAGGAGCAGCATCTCAACTGGGCTCAGCAGTGCAGTTGTGCTTCAGTCTGCAAGTCTAGCTAGCTTGGCTCCTTCACTCCAGGTAAGAGCTTGTTTGCTCCACGTGTATTTATTCTGGGACCTGGGTCGAAGGGGCAGCAGTTACCCAGGAGAATTTCCTATAGTGGTGATAGCAGAGGTACAAGGAGCAAAGTCAAGTCTGCAAGTACATTTCAAGGCCCTGCTTGTGTTTTATCTGTTAACAACTCATTTGCTAAAGCAAGTTATGTAGCTAAGCCAGAGATCAGTTGGGGAGTGAGCAACTGTACTTGCCTCTTTGGGAAGGAATGAAAAAGTTACATGATAAAGGCTTAGATACAGGGAAGGGTGAATGATTGGACCCAAAAAAGGCTGAGCACGGTGGCTCGCGCCTGTAATCCTAGCACTTTGGGAGACCGAGGAAGGAGGATCACTTGAGCTCAGAAGTTTGAGACCAGCCTGGGCAACATAGTGAGACCCCCATCTCTACAAAAAAAAAAAAATGTTTACAAATTGACTGGGTGTGGTGGCGTGTGCCTATAGTCTCAGCTACTCAGGTGGCTGAAGTGGGAGGATCACTTGAGCCTGGGAGGTTGAGGCTGCAATGAGCTATGACTGCACTCCATCTTGGGTGACAGAGCAAGACCCTGTCAAAAAAAAAAAAAAAGAACAAGAAAAAGAAAGAAAGAAAGAGAGAGAAAGAAAAAAAAGCACTTAGCCTAAAAGATGAAAAACAGATTCTGTCCTCAGAAAGCCAAACTTGGCTGGGGAGGTGAGAATGAAGGAGTATGAAAAGTACATAAAATCAACAAAAACTTCTCAGTGCAAGCACTTCACTTTGGGTTGTACCATCTTCGTAAAGCATAGAAAGTTGTACTTTATAGTCTTAGTAATATGGGAGACCAAGGTGACTAACAACTCAGGCTCTGAAGTCAGATTTGGCCCGAATCTGAACTCTGCCCTTTCCTATCTGAACAACCCTGAGCTAGTTACCTTCCCTACGCTTTCTCAAAAGCTTTCTCTAAACCTCAGTTTTCTCATCTGTATAATGGAGATAATAATGGTGCATGCATTATGGGGTATTATAAAAATGAGTGTCTTCCACATACTGAGTATGTGATATTCATATGGTTATTATTGTATATTTTGTTAATATCTAATATAGCAACAGGAAGCAGGAAGAAGACATAATAAAATAAATTTGATTGCTTCCAGCATAGAACATACTATTTAAAACGCTTAAGACATCTATCCACGTACCCAGCTATTCCTGAAACAACAGAAAATTTAGAGAGGGAAATAGCATGGACTGAATACCTAACCATGGCCCACTTGCTTTGCTATATGCCTTGTATATACACTCATTTAACACCACTTTTAGCTTTTCTTATGATCACATCCAAAACAACATGGGCCCAGAGACAACAGGAAGACATAATTCCAACACAGCTTCCCTATGACCACTATTTAGAAGTGTTTAGAGGCTGTGCCGTTAAAGTGCTGTGTGCACAACCTCTTGTGCAGGTCCAAGAACATTGCTCATGATGTGGGTTGTCAAGCCAGTGATACCAGCCCTCATTCCACTATAAATCTCCTGCCTCTCTTCTAATGAGTCCTTAAGAATGACTGAGATTCCTGTCAAGGTCCACCCATGCTCATTAGACTCTGGGGGCCAATTGAATTAGTTGCTTCTTAAGATTTCTTAGAACCAAGGACTAATTTTGCTATAAAGAGAATCGGGGTCATTTGTAAGTCACTGGTGTTATATTCTTCCCACCTTAGTTGATGGAACTCTCATCAATGGGCTCTCCCCCTAGACTCCTCGACCTTGCTCGTTTCTAGGAAATCCTTTCTGTATCCAGCTTTTGCTCCCTTTCTTCTGATGCTGGATTAGTCTCATGGGGATGCTTGAAATCACAGTCATGGTCACCTGGCACCTGGGCCGTGGGGCTGAAGGGGTTGGTTGGATTTGCTCAGAGCCCCTTGTGACCATCATGCATCTCCTCTGCCCACAGCCATCCTGAGTGAGCTCCTGCAGAGGGAGAATCGCGTGCTGCATTTCTGGACCTTGAAGAAGCGGCGGTTAGACCAATGCCAGCAATATGTGGTGTTCGAGCGCAGCGCTAAGCAGGTTGTCCAAAGCTTTCCCTGGCACTATCTCAGTTCTGGGGAGCATACAGAGGCCCATCACCAAGGCTTAGTCCAGAAGAGGGCCACAGCAGCAGATTGGGGATGGGAGTGGGGAATAAAGAAGAAAGAAAGCAGGTTGTCACCTGTCAGCAGTTCAGCATTTACCAAGCTCTATGTTTTGAGTTTGGTACCAGGAGATGTGAGGAAATGCTAGGTCACCCACTATGCCCCTAATTCGTGGATGATATTAGGCCTGGCCTAGAAGAGTCCTCAGTCTACTGGGGGAGACCCTCTCTTTGCTGGTAAATGTTCCAAAGCAAGGGAGGGCTCATTCATAAAAAAAAACTCCAGAGCTACATACCAATCAAATTGTCAGTGTTTCCTGGGTCCATTAAGTTGTCCCAACAATAACCTTCATTGTAGTATGGCATGTTTTCCTACTGACAGCTGCCTTTTTGGGGACTGGATGAGTTGTTTCCTCC
The DNA here is from genome assembly GCF_000001405.40 of Homo sapiens. Taxonomy (NCBI): domain Eukaryota; kingdom Metazoa; phylum Chordata; class Mammalia; order Primates; family Hominidae; genus Homo; species Homo sapiens. Next base: position 124,446,758 of record NC_000003.12, read on the forward strand.
CATAGGCGCTTGACTGGATCCAAGAAACAGGTGAATTTTACCTCTCAACACATACCTCCACTGGAGAGACCACAGAGGAGACTCAGGAACTGCTGAAAGAATATGGGGAATTCAGGGTGCCTGCCAAGGTAGGAAACATCCCAGAGCCTCCCCCAGATCCACCCAGAACTCTCCATTCTGGCCAATTTCACATTATGGAAGCAAAGACAGCTTCTGTAAGCAAAAATACCTGGCTACAGTGGCAAGGGGGGAAGCATGTAAATGTCCTAAAGGATTGTCTCTTTAGAAACCTGAATACCCAAAGAATTGCAGCTGCTGGGTAGAGCAGCTGTATGCAGGAAGTCAATTGCTATATACTGTGCTTCCAGATACTCATCTTCATGCTTCAGGTTCTGGAATCTGCTGTATTCTTTCAGACCAAATCAGGGAAAAGGGTGTATTCATGTAAAAATGTCACATGTGCATGTGAACACTGCAGATATCCACATATTCTTGCACTTTGAGTGGTTTGGGAAGTCCACCTTATTAGAAGGGCTAGTGACTATATATGGGTACACAAAACAGGTGAATTTCTCCTTTTCTGAGCTATTTCCATCTGGCCTCAAACCCGCTCATGAGCTAGGCTAGGCTGGGTCTCTGGGGAGCAAAATGTGCAAGGATGTACATACCAATTCATACCAAGATTGTGGGAAATGCTATAATAGAAGGAAACCTGATTTTCATCTGTTTTCACAGCCAGGATTTGATCTGAGGATGCTTGGGTTTGAATGAAAATCTGATCTGTCTCAAGTTCCTCTTTGTAACGTCCTCATCTCTCACACGGGGCTCCTTGCCACACAGGAGGCTTTTTTGGCATCACTTCCACACAAAACATATGCTCTTCCCAGGTTAAGAGATGTTCTTGTTGGGGTCAAGGTGGGAAACATCCTATCCGGAGATCCCTCTGACACTATAAGGAATGTTCCTCTGGTTTGGTGTGACAAATTAGGCCCTTAGCCTCATTCCTGAGCTGATATTTCAGAAGTGGCTATCCACTCTATGAATCTTTTCCTATGAACTCTCAATATTGGGGAGCCTCTCCCTGCATCCTTGTGAATTTTGGGCCTTTTTGTCTAATGCAAAAAGCTATGAGCACAGATAAGAGACTCATTTCAATACCAGTAAAAGCAAACAGCACAAAGAAGGTGGCAGATGCACAGAACCCTATTCAAATCCAAATTAAAATGGCTGTGAATTAACAAGTTGGCTTTATCCGCCCTTCTCCAAATAGGGCTTATAATGAGCCATTAACAGGCTGAATAGTATGAGATCCATTGGTGTTCCTGTCTGCATAGGGTGGATCACAGCAGATACCCAGAACGTCATAGGATCAAAATCTTTCCATAATCAAAGTGGAAATGTGAAGAATTGTTCAGTCAATCTTATTCATCCTACCTTTGTAACTGTCTTCATATATTTCTCCTCTTTTTCATTCACATAGCTACTACCCTGAGCTGTAGTAGCTTCCTAATTTGATTGCATGCCTTTGGTCTTTCCTTCCTTCCAATCCACCCTGTCCTTTATTGCTATTCATCTTTAAAATGCTACTTTGGTCACATAACCACCCAGATCAAGAACTTTAATGATTTTCCAATGCCTTTAGGATAATGCTCCACAACTCTACAGCTGTGCTACCCTACCTCCCCAGTTTTATTTTCAATTATTATTTTATGCAGGCTTTATGCTCCAGCTGAATGGATGTATTCTCTGAGCCTCTGAGAGATACATCATATTCTTTTTTGTCTATGTGCCTTTTTTCATACATTTCTCTGCCTGGAATACCCTTCCCTTCCCTCTAGTTTGTGCTTTTTAAGAGGAGCCCCTCCTTTCCACTCTAGAGCCTCCTCCTCTATGATCCTTCCCACATACCAGGATATGATCCAGCTCATCCCTGCACTACGGCCCTTGTCCGTATAACCCTTCACCTGGCACAGACCATCTCTCCTCCAGTAATCTATGCAATGTTATTGCCTATATAAGCCGACAGGATACTTAAAGACAAGAACCACACTATTCATTTTGAGTTCCCTAGGTTACCTAACTGCATTTTACACATTCAAAGGAGGCTACAACCATTCAAGACCATAAGGAAAAAAGGAAGTTTGAGTAGATTCACCCCCTCCTCATTTATATTTAATATGAATCTTCTACTTTGGCTGTCTATGTTCTCTGTCCCTCCTGATGTAACTATCATGTTCCAAATCTCATGGTTATTCATATTAGAATATCTACAGGATAACAAACCCAGTTGAGGAGCTTCTGATTAGAGGCAGCAGCCTCCTGCCCCACCCTAATCCCACTTTCCAGAGGTAAACCTCTTCTAATCAGCTGTCTTTGATTATAATCTTTATAACCAATAAAATGAATTTGAAATGGAAACCAAATTGACCTTTAGCCACAAGAGAATACATACAGTGGCCCTTATGGTTGAATAGGGCAGTGGAGTACATTGAATTTAATAATACTGTGGTCCAAAGGAACAGACCAAGTAGAAGAACCATTGGATATAGAAAGATACTTTCTATGTAAAAGCTCACAAATACAAGAATAAAAATGAAATAAAAAGTTTGAATGAGGAAAAAAGGAAAACATCATTTTCATGTTGTGGTAGGCCTATAGACAGTCCATTAAAAGTATAGAAATGGTATTTTCCTATTATGGGTTTCAAAATGTATAAGGGGTCAAGGCACACGGAGATGGGGAAGCTTAGTCATCATGACATTTGAAAGAACTCCATTTCTTCTAAAAGTAAAACTTTTTAAAGATTATCTTGTTTTTCATTTTTTACAAATTCCATGGTTTTTACTATATTCACAAAGTTGTGCAAACATTGCCACTGTTTCATTCCAGAACATTTTCATTACCCTAGAAAGAAACCTCATGCCCATTAGCAGTCACTCTGCATTCCCTACTCTCCTCAACCCCTGGCAACTACTCATCTGCTTTCAGTCTCTATGGGTTTGCCTGTTTGGGCATTTCATATAAATGGAATCATACAATATGAGATCTTCTGTGACTGGCTTACTTCCCCTAGCCTAATGCTTTCAGGATTCATCCATGCTATTCGCATGTATCAATCCTTTTGTCCTATTATTGCTAAATAGCATGCCATTTCATTGATATACCACTTTTTGTTTACTATTCATCAGTTGATGGACATTTGGGTTGTTTCTGGCTTTTGGCTGTCATGAATAATGCTGCTATAAACCTTTATATTCAAGTTTTGGCGTGAACAGATGTTTCAGTTCCCTTATGTGCATACCTGGGAGTGGAATGGTTGGGTTATATGGAGTTCTACTATGTTTAACTTTTTGAGGAACTGCTAAACTGTTTTTCAAAGTAGGTATACCATTTTGTACTCTCACCAGCAGTTTGTGAGGGTTCCAGTTTCTCCACATCCTCACCAACACTTGTTACTGTGTCTTTTTATATAGCCATCCTAGAGGGTGTGGAGTGGTATTCATTGTGGGTTTTGATTTGCATTTGCCAATGACTAATAATGTTAAGAAAATACTTTTTTAAGCTGGTAATTTCATCTCTGAAAATGAAAGAAGCCTTGAGATAAACTGGACTTAATTCATCTTGACAAAAGAAAATTAAGTAGTAATGAAAGCAACTGGAGCCTTAGCTGAACTAAACTATGATTTCCTGAGATTCAGATAGCAAGGAAAGGGAACACTGGGGTTGTCAGATGGTACTTTAGACCGAGAGAGGTAGAATCTAAACAGTTCAGATAAAAGATAGGCGTGATGCTATTTCTGAGACTCTTTTTTTTTTTTTTTTGAGATGGAGTTTCACTCTTGTTGCCCAGGCTGGAGTGCAGTCATGTGACCTCAGCTCACTGCAACCTTCACCTCCTGGGTTCAAGTGATTCTCCTGCCTCAGCATCCCATGTAGCTGCGATTACAGGTGCTTGCCACCAGGTCTGGCTGATTTTTGTATTTTTAGTAGAGACAGGGTTTCACCATGTTGGCCAGGCTGGTCTTGAACTCCTGACCTTAGGTGATCCACCTGCCTTTGCCTCCCAAAGTGCTGGGATTACAGACATGAGCCACCGCGCCTGGTCTTTCTGAGACTCTGAAGAGGAATATAGTTCATATGTGATGGAAAGTTTTGAAAATTTTGGTTCTTTTATGTATAATAACAAACAATCCCCTGCTGAATGAATCAGAAGATGTATTTCAAGAAACCTATTCACCTGCACAAGGAGCTCAGTAAATTTGTGTCTACAAAAAAAAATTGATAAGGAATATCAATATTCCTTATTATTATCTCATTATAAGGAATATCAATAATGAAAGGCAAATATAGAAAATTATGAGATTATAAGATTACTATCAAGAAGACAAAATCTTAAAGTCTTGTAAAATGTGCTAAAGTCAAAAGGGCTTTAAAAAAATTTACTCAGAGTGAGGCTCACTGATTAGAGGAAGATCATAACCAAAGATAGAAAGAAAGGGAAGGAGGAAAAGAGAGAGTGGGGAGGGAAAGAGAGAGGGAGGGATAGAAAAAAAATAGAATTACTGAACCCCTCTTTTGAACCTCTGTCTTTTCCAGCAGATAACTAGAATTCAAAATGGAGAGGCAAGACATAAATTAGGGGACACATGAAGCCCAAGATAAGTGAGCTCTCAGGTCTAGATTTCCAGGCCCAGATGAATTATGGTACCCAAAGTTTCCCTTTTGGCCACAAGATCATGTCCATACTTCTGAACTTTTCATTCAAGAACTGCTGCAGTCTGACCCCATTTTATTAGTTTCTATAAGTTACTGTCTTTGGAGGAAAGATTTGAGTTTCAAGTGGGCTTAGGTTGAACGAGAAAAGATATGTATGGCCACGTGTGGAAATAAAGAAGATAGAAGCGATGTGTCTGAACCTCCCAGAAACCCAGAAAAAGCTCAGTGACTCAGCCCCATGGGAAGAACAAGAAATGTGGCATAGTGTCACCTCTGGAGATGAAAACTGGAATGTCACCCAAGACCAAGGGTGTCTCAAGCAGCCACGTCATCTGGTCATCATCTGAGAGTGGAAGACCAGAATCTGTATAATGTTCTACCATTTCTATACCACAGCTTCCTTTTTCTTCTTCCTCTCTGCTTTCTGTGATTTCACTTCTACTCTGCAAGCAATCACCCAGATCCCTGTCTGTACAGTTTAAATCCTCAGGGAAACAACCCCAATTGACCCAGCTTATTTCTAGTCCCCTATTTAGACACAGCTTTTAGGCCAGGACACCTCAGAAGTCACTGGCTGCATCTTGATGGGCTGCCCTCATAAGACAAGTTTTTACCTCTGATCTCAAAAGCTGTGACCAGGCATTTGGCAGGTCATGTGGTGCCACCACAATCACCTATGTATAAGAAACCATTTCAGAATACTCCCAGTGGGGACCATGGCCATGGTTGATGTCTAAGTGCACTTATCCAATTCATGGGCCAAATTTATCATCTACTTCTTCCCAATAAAAATCTTCAACTCTTGCTGGTCTAGCTTTACTCACCTCCAAACACAAGATTTGCTCATTCATTCATTCAGTCAACATTGATGGTATGCTTACTATTTTCTAGACACTGGAGATATACAAATGAATAAGATATAATACTTACCTTTTAGGGTTCATGGTCTAATGAAGGAGACTTATAAATAATGTGATGTATGCTAAAATAGAAGCATGTATGTGATACTGTGGGAACACTGGGAAGGCATTGCCCACTTGTTTTTTGGGGAGGAGAGGAGAGGAAAAAGGGCATTCAATTGAGAGTGGGAATGAGTAGGAACCACTCATCACAGCAGGAGAGGCATGCAACATTCAACATGGCTGCAGTGTAGGGAATGAAGAGCAGTGGAGACAGGGCTGCTACAAAGGTAGGTGGAGCCGCATGGGGAAGGGCGTGTCTACACTTCCCTCTACCTACTTCCTAAGGATGCATCTAAACTCATTTTACTGTCTCTTTGCTCCTCTAGTCCCCACACATACCTAGAATACTCTTGGTCACAAACTATTTGCTTTGCTGACTCCGAATCACAATTTTGATGTTTTAAGATATAATTTTCTCTGGTAGAGCTGCCCTAGTATGGCTGCTGCCACCAGCTGGCTGTAAAACCCTTTCTTATAGGTGGAGTCACTTTACCAAGAGCAGAGAATATGTATTTCCAAGACTTTTCCATAAACACATGGTCTCTGTTTTAAGTAAATAGAAAACCAAAGAAAATTGTTTTCAGGAAAAATAAAAATAAAAAACACCCTACATGCAATAAGATGAAAGTCCTCAGGATGCTTAGACACTGGAGATATATAAATGAATAAGATGATTAAAAAGGGGTTCAATAATTCTAGTTTAGATAGAATCAAGTAGATTCTATTTTGAATAGAATCTGCTAATTCTATCTTAACCAATTCTCCCTGTTATTACTCTGCCTTTTCATGGCTGAGGAGATGTTTCGGCTATCCTCACACCTACCTCCTTTCCTTCACACCAAAGCTCTTGCCCTTTATCTTCCAGTGCCAGGCACCAGCCTACTGTCCTGAGATAGGAGAGGCTCCATGTGCCGAGTGAGCTACTGGAGAGCTGGATCCCTGGTCCCTGGTCCCTGGCCATGTGTGCGGCAGGCAGAGCACTCTCAACTCTCCTCTCTGACGCCCTCTTTCTCCAGCATTTCTTGGGAGGGTTGATCTCTCATGGGAGGGGCTGTAGATAGGCCTGGAAGGAGCAGATGGGGTGAGGATAGTAGAATAAAGAAAGAAGGGCTCTGTTGTTTTTTCTGCTGTTGCTCCAGTGATGTTTTGCCTCAGTTTCCCTGATATCTAGATTGTAGCATGGTTTAAACCTTGGACCCACTTTCCTCCAGTCCAAAAGATAATTTTTCTTCTTAGAATAGTATTTAAATGTTCTTTCCTTTCCCTGAGCAATTTCAGAGTTTGAAAATCCAAACTTAGGATTAAAAAATAAGCAGCAGTCTGCTTGTTGGGTGTCTCTCTCATTCCCATGACTTACCCAGCTTAAGTACTGCTTCTCCGTGAGACCTCCCCTACCCATGCCTGTCCGCCTTCATTTTCTCCTTTTAAAATTCCTATAGTGTTAACTCTACATTCTCCCATTTTGACATTCAATTACATAATGCCCTGAGTTATTTACCTACTCTGTGTGAAATGAAGATTTTTTTCCTTTTGTTTGACCCCCAAGCCCTAAACTATAGCTCTTTACACAGTACTACGGACCAAGTAGGTATTGAACAAACTCTTGCTAAAAATGAAATTAATCCAGTAAACATCAGAGTTCTACTTTACCTAGTCCTATAATAGATGATGGCTTTATTAACCTCTTTCTCCTGCTCTCTAATGGAAACTAAAGACAAGATTCTGGTGGTGACAGGGACAGAGTTAACTCTTAAATCTGCTCATTGTATTTATTTAGATCCTGGCATGTGCCAACTTATATGAGGTTTAGAGCTGGTACAGTGGAGAGGGAAACTAGGAACTAAAGGGCAGAGACAAATAGGCTCTGTTTGCTCACTGGTAGTATGAAGTTGGACCAGCCCTAAGCCTCTCTAAGCCTCAGATTTTTTTCATCTGTGGTTCAAAGAGACCTGCATCACTTCCCTCCACCTACTTCCTAAGGATGCATCTAAACTCAAATGGCTTTCAGATACAGTAACACACTATGTAAATTAAAAGCATATTAATGTAAGAGATTCTTACATCAGTAATAATAATGGTTAATGTTTATGGCTTACTGAGTTCTTACTGTCTTCCACTGTACTAAGCATTCTACATTTGTCAACTCATTTAATACACCAGCCCTCTGAAGTAGGATCAGCCCTCCGTATCTACAGGTGTCGCATCCGTGGATTCAACCAACCATGAACTGAAAATGTTTTTTTTTCAAATGGATGGTTGTGCCTGTACTGAACATATACAGACTTTTTTTGTTCTTGTCATCATTCCCTAAGCCATACGGAATAACAACTATTTACTTAGTATTTACATTGTATTAGGTATTGTAAGTAATTTAGAGATGATTTGAAGTGTTCCTGAGGATGTGGGTAAGTTGTAAGCAAAAACCACACCATGTTATATAAGGAACTTGCATATCTGGATTTTGGTATCCATGGGGGGCCCTGGAACAAGTTCCCCCCACCCCAGCACTGAGGGATGACTGTAATATTATGATTTCCTTTTTGCAGATGAAGAAATGGAGGCACAGAGGGTTTCAATAACTTGCTCGAGATCTCCCAGTTAGTAGTAACAAAGCTGGGATACATACCCAGGTAGTCAGCTATGAGGTATCTATGGCTGCTCTAAACAGGAAGAGAGGATTTGGGGTGAAGGGGCAGGAGAATAAATGTAATCCAGTAACTTAAGGCCATCTTTTGGGGCAGCAAACAAAGGAGAAGGTGAAGCTTCTGATTCAGCTGGCCGATAGCTTTGTGGAAAAAGGCCACATTCATGCCACGGAGATAAGGAAATGGGTGACCACGGTGGACAAGCACTACAGAGATTTCTCCCTGAGGATGGGAAAGTACCGATACTCACTGGAGAAAGCCCTAGGAGTCAACACAGAGGTAGGCAGGGGTATTGTCCTCTGGGACATCCTCCCTTCTCATCTCCCTGAGCACCACTGCCCTCATCGCCATGGAAGAAAAGCATGTTTCCAGAGCAGTTCTTCTGAGCTATTGACTCCTAGAGCGCTTGACTTGTGTGGCTTTTCTAGTGGGGAGTGCTGGGTGGATCTTGCTGATCCATTAACCTTCAGTCCCCTGTGATTAGTACTCTATACATTACAAAATCGACTGGCCAGTAGTGGGGCCTATGGCTACAGAACAGAGTTTTTCTCTGTATAGAGTTAACTGTTGACTTTGAGAACCAAAAGCTTTATCTTGGCTTCATAAGTACCATCTTCCACCCAATTATGTTAATCAGCAAATGATTAGAGTCCCCAGTATATATAATAGTACTCTTTCAAGAATAAGGGGTGCAATTTGTACAAGGGTTATTTGACATTTCAACCGAACAGAGGTACAATTTGCCATGAACCAGGGAAGATGGACTTTTAATCTCTTCTTTATAATAGGGGTTAGTAACCTGTGAATTAAGAGCTTAATACAGCCTGGCAATTTAATCCTAGGATGTCTAATTCTTAAATCTTCAAATAGGCTCATGATCTGAAGCAGAGCAGCCTGGAGAGTGAAGTGGCCAAACTACCTAAAGTTGAGAGAGTTAATGTCTCCCCCAGGCTTTAATCTGTGAGTTTTTATCTAGGAAGTTCCATCATATATAAATACCAAATGGTGGTTAAAATTAGCAGGGATGAGCAATGAGAAAGTTCAGTCATTGCTCTGTTATTTAGCTTTCTGTTTCCAAGGGAAATTTCTTGTTTAAATAAATATATTTGATTTGATTATTTTCTTTTGACAAATGAAAGATGTTTTTATATCTTTATGTGTTTTTGTTTCACATCTATTTTAAATGGTTAAGAATCAGTCTTAGACTAATTTACGGGTGTGTTTAGATTTAATTAGGACCAAAGGCCTTGGGGAAATAGACACATAATTATCAAATATGTTCATTGTTTTTTCTTACTATGGATATTTACCCTAAACATTTGACCTGAACATTTTATTTCTCTCTTATTTGAAAAAACAATAATGATACCATGAAGAAGAGTGCTTATGGGTATGAGTCTGTAAGATCCCTCATGTTTTTATCCTTCTCCATTATATCTTTTTTTCCCCCTTTTACCACCTCCCTCAACTCCAGTGAGTTGCTTTCCCAAAGCATCACAAGGTGACCTTTGTGATCCCTCCATGTGCAGGATAATAAGGACCTGGAGCTGGATATTATCCCAGCAAGCCTTTCGGATCGGGAGGTCAAGCTGCGGGACGCCAACCACGAAGTCAATGAAGAGAAGCGGAAGTCAGCCCGGAAGAAAGAGTACGTGTTGGCTTCCGCCCAGCTAGCTGGCTCCCCGTGACTATGCTGGGCTTTCACCGCTACTTGTCCCTTTGGATAGCTTAATATGTTCTCATGGCCACCTACAGGGATTGGGATGGACAGACATAATGTTTGCATTGAGAATATGGGTTCCCTCTGAAGGCTTTGAAGTCTCTCCAGTCTGTCCTTCACCTGAATTCTCTTTACATTTCAGTAACTTCCTAGACAAACCCTTCCTCATAGATCATCACATTTTACTTCACAATGTCAAAACTCAACTTGGAACAAATCAAATATTTTTTCTTCTCCTCCAAATTTTATTCTGCCTTCTGATTTTTTTTTTAAGTTTTTTATTTTTTGGGACAGAGCCTCACGGTGTCACCCAGGCTGGAATGCAGTGGCATGATCTCAGCTCACTGCAACCTCCGCCTCCTGGATTCAAGCAATTCTCCTGCCTCAGCCTCCCGAGTAGCTGGGATTACAGGTGTGCGCCACCATGCCTAGCTAATTTTTGTATTTTTAATAGAAACGGGGTTTCACCATGTTGGCCAGGCTGGTCTCGGACTCCTGACCTCAAGTGATCTGCCCGCCTCAGCCTCCCAAAGTGCTGGGATTATAGGCATGAGCCACCACGCCCAGCCTCTCCCTTCTGATTTTCTAATTCCCATCAATAGTGTCACTAACCTTCTAGTTTTGTCTGGATTATTTGCAAAAACTTCCCATAGCTTTCCTGCTGCTGGTCCCTGCCCAATTCACCTGCACAGTGATGCCAGGTTTACCTTTCTGGAGTACATTTTATTATTGCTAATATCAATACTCTTCCTGCCACCAGCACCTACACTTTTTATGTCCTAAACATTACATAAAGTGCCTTTACACACATTTTCTCTTTGTATCTTTCTATCGCTTCTTTCAGGCAGCTATGATTATTCCCATTTTACATATAATAAGTCTTAGAAAAGTCAAGTAATTTTCCCCAAACCACACAGATGGTGAGCAATGAAGCCAGAATTTAATCTAGCTTTGACTCTTCAGCATTCTTTGATTTCTTTCCATTATGTCTCTCACCAGCTTCAAATTGTAAATGGTTTGCTACTACCCCTGGAATAATGATAAAACTCAAGGTACTGCTATCGTTTGTCCTCATCTAAGTCAATTTTACTTCAAAATACTTTCTAGTTCAGATCACACCCTTCAGTCAGATCATTTTCACTGACTCCTCTCAGGTCTAAGAATAAATTGTATATAATTGAGAATACTCTGCTGGCCGCGTGTGGTGGCTCACGTCTGTAATCCCAGCACTTTGGGAGGCCGAGGCGGTTGGATTACCTGAGGTCAGGAGTTCGAGACCGGCCTGGCCAACATGGTGAAACCCCGTCTCTACTAAAAATACAAAAATTAGCCGGGCATGGTAGCACACGCCTGTAATCCCAGCTACCTGGGAGGCTGAGGCAGGAGAATTGCTTGAGCCCAGGAGGCAGAGGTTGCAGTGAGCCGAGATCACGCCACTGCACTCCAGCCTGGCTGACAGAGCAAGACTCTGTCTCAAAAAAAAAAAAAAAAAAAAAGAGAATGCTCTCCTTTCTGTTTGTTATTTTCCCTTTCGTTTCCCTTCCTTTTTTTCCTGTTTGGTTTTATTTTGCTCTGTGTAAGTCCTATTGATTCTTTAAAATCCAGCTCATATCCTATGCCTCTATAAATCCTTTATCTACAGCCCCCACTGTCATTGGCCCATCCTTTTATGAACTCCTTTACTTCTGTACTGATTCCCATTTTACTTATTCAGCCAATTCTTAAGCATATGTCCCTAGCTAGATTGTAGACTCCTTGAAAACAAGAAGTATTTTATACTCTGTAGTATGGATCAAGGGACTAGCAGAAAAATGAAGATAACATAATTATTGATCAAGAAAAGCTTATAGTCAGGCAGGGCACAGTGGCTCATGCCTGTAACTTTGGGGGGCTGAGGTGGGCAGATCACCTTGAAGCCAGGAGTTCAAGACCAGCCTTGCCAACATGGCAAAAACCTGTCTTTGCTAAAAAAAAAATACAAAACTTAGCTGGGCATGGTGGTGTGCACCTGTAATCCCAGCTACTCAGGAGGCTGAGGTATGAAAATCCCTTGAACCCAGGAGGCAGAGGTTGCCATGAGCCAAAATTGCTCCACTGCACTCCAGCCTGGGCAACAGAGCAAGAATCCATCTCAAAATAAAAAAGAAAGGAAAAGAAAATCTTATGGAATATAATTGGATATAGAAATTGAAACCTTGAGGGAAGGGCAGGACGTTATTTAAAATCACAAAACAAATAAGGACTGTAACATCAATTTCTTTACTTGAAGTTGAGGGATATACCACTGGGCCAGAAGAAAATAAGGCATGCTTTAGGAGGCATTCCAGCATCAGATGGGCCCTCCTCCCCTGACTTGCTCTAGGTATTCAGATTTCAAAAGGAAGAAAGAGGTGCTTGGAAATTGGTCCAGTGAGTGAATTGTAGATGTTAGAATGTAAAGCTGCCACCTAAGTTTACTCCTAGGTCAGCAATAGCCCATGAGGAGATGAGGCAGAGGAAAATAGGCAAGAAGAGAGTAGAGGATGCTGAGATTCAAACATTTTGCAAGAATCTGAAGTAGCTGAGGTTTTCATAAATTGAACTCTGTTTTCTCAGAATAAGAATGAATAGGGGCCAGAATTCATTTAGTGAGCTGGAACCAACTTATCATTAGATTCCTGCTTTGCTCTCTAAGTATCTCAGCTCCACTTTCAGAAAAGTCCTGACTCCAGGTAGGCAAAACACATTTTTCTTCTTTGGTTGTTTGGTAGGGAGTTGTCTACCAACATTTCACTCTAATCAAGAATTACAGAGCATTGGACAGGGTAAACAATGAACCGTACCAATCTTATAAACCATTTCTTGACACTGCTTCCTTTATGCTGGAGTTACAAAGTAACACATATCTAGAGATTTCTGGAGGACTTTATAAAGAATATTTTGACACTCTGTTTGTGAATTACTAGAAAAAAATAGTATGTCCTAAGATTAAGAAGCTCTATATAGTTTATTTTATCAAGATGAAGTAGGACCACAGGTTCCTTGGAGATGAAGAAACTAAAGCTGCTGTGTGAATCAGAGCTTGTTCATATGGGGAGTGGATTTGTTTGTTGGGGCTGCTGTAACCAAGTACCACAAATTGGGTTGTTTAAAGAGCAGAAATGTATTGTCTCCCAGCTCTCGGGACTAGAAGCCTAAACTCAAGGTGTCAGCAGGGTTGATTCCTTCTGAGGGCAGTGAGGGGAGGGTCTGTTCCAGGCCTCTCTCCTTGATAGCTTGTAGATGGCTGTTTCCGTGCTCACGTGGCATAATCCCAGAATATATGCCTGTATCAAAAATTCCTCCTTTTGTAAGGACATCAGTTGTTAGATCCAGGGGCCACTCTACTCCAGTACTGCAGTGATACTGTTTCCAAATAAGACCAAAATCTGAGGTATTGGAGGTTAAGACTTCAGCATATGAATTTCAGAGGCGTCATAATTCAGCCCATATCTGGGAGGGGGATGAGGGGACTATACCTGGCCAGATCTTCCTCCTTGGTTCCTTCTGTGACAACAAATAGCCAGAAGAGATTAAAGGATGGGTGGAAAATAAAATGGGGTGGGGATAGCAGAGGTAAATTGTGAGGAAAGACAGGTAAAACTGCAGGAAGCGGATGAGAACAAAAGAACAATTCTAGAAAACTTAAGGCAATAAAATCAAAGGCAAGTTCTCAAAGGCCGTCAGTTTATGTTCCTTCTGATCTCCCTTCTGTCCTCATTTCATCGCAATCTACAGCTCATTTAATCATGGAATGTTTCCTGAGCACCTACCATGCACTAGGCATGTTGCTTACGTGATCTTGTTTAATACTTGCAGCAATTCTGTGTGATCAGCTATTTTATAAGTAAGGAGTCTGAGACCTGGAGAGGCAAGTCCTACCTCTGGTTGTAATTCAGTTCCTATCTGTCTGACTCCAAAGCTTATGCACTTTTTACTCTACCAATAGAGTTCAATTCAAAGAACAGAAAAATATAGAATATACCACAACGAGGCCATGTATCGTAAGTTTAACAATTGTCTAAGCACATTGTATTATTTAGAGGCCCAAGGAGGAAGAGAACCCTCTCTTTAAAGATGCATAACACAGACTTCTCTTTATGGGGGACTGAGAAGCAGTCACTTATTACTAATTTATACTGTGCTTATGGTTGCACGTTCAGTTTTCTACACATCCGTTTATGCTGTAAACAAGTCCCATTGGAAATAGTACTGAAATAGCTGAGAGGATAATCTAGGTCAGAGGTCAGCAAACATAGACCAAATTTGACCTACCAACTATTTCATATGGTCTATAAACTAAAAATTATCTTTTATATTTTTAAATAATTGGAAGAATTATCAAAAGAAGAATATTTTATAATGTGAAAATTAGATAAAATTCAAATTTTAGTGTCCATAAATGTTTTTATTGGAAAACAGCCACACTTATTTTTTTTTACACATTGTCTATGGCTCCTTTCACATGACAACAGCAAAGTTGAGTGGTTGTGACAGAGACCGAATTGCCCACAGAGATTTATTATCTGGCTCTTTATAGAAAAATTGCTAACCCCTGATCTCGGTGTGTTGGACCTCTTTTCCTGGCTTTGAAACCTGGTTTATTATGATACTAAGAACTGTTTTGGTATATATCTACAAACTCTACTGAACAGAAATCTTCATTCTGGGAGCTGTAGGAGAAATGTGGAAAGCTGAGATTCAAGCTATCTAGTTTAGTTGGTGAGACAGAATATGAACAGTCCTACATGCCTGTACTCACATGAATATCACCACAGAATCACAAGTATTAATAGTAGGACTGGGGTGGAAAAGGGAGAGAGAATATGGACCTAGCTGAGCACAAACCTGCTAAAGGGTTACAGGGCCAATGGTCAGGAAATATCACAAGTATCATAGGAAGATACTTGTAGGAAAGGGAAGGAATTTTGAAGAAAGGAAAAGACCTGTTGATGAAGTAGAAAAATAAGACATTTAAGAATGTCATACATGCTGGGGTGGGGAAGTGAAGTTTGAAGGAGGAGAGACATTATATCTATATCCAAGTAAAAGCCCATTTGTTTCCTTCTAGATTTATTATGGCTGAACTACTCCAGACAGAGAAGGCTTATGTAAGGGATTTGCATGAGTGCTTAGAGGTGAGTCTTCCAGTAATCCGTTCACAGCTATATTGGAAAAATGACATCCTTGCCAGCATCAAGTCCTCAATTGGAATTTGGTGCTATTGGTCTTCTCCCAGAGAGTAATGAATTAAAAAGTCAACAAGAGGAAATCTTTCTCCTAAAGTCAACAATAATTACATGAGAGTTTAAAGTACTTTTGAAAAGAAAGTTTAAACTTTTCTCAGACTGGAGCTAGACCCAGGAACAAGAAGTGTGTAAGGCACTTCAATTCAAAATAAAACCATGACACAGTCAGTGAACTTAAATTGGGTCTGAAAATCTGCATCCTGACCCCCATAAAAGTCCACACACATTTAATAAATGACAAGAGACTGTGGAGTTTGTGTTCTTGCTAAAGTTCAGGATAATGAAATATTCAGGTTTTATTTCTTTCTCTTATGTTTACTTAACACGTCACTTTTTAAACTCTGCACGCATTTACAGTTTGAGTCTTGCCCCACAAGTTTGAGCACCTGTGTATTTTGTCTGTATTTTATATGGCCTGCCAGACTTGCCAGTGATGAAACTGTTACTGTCTTACAGACCTACCTGTGGGAAATGACCAGTGGTGTGGAGGAGATCCCCCCTGGGATCCTCAATAAAGAGCATATCATCTTTGGCAACATCCAAGAGATCTACGATTTCCATAACAAGTAGGTTTGTGGAGGGTCTCAGAGGTGCACACTTAGGCCGTAAAAACCAGACAACAGGGTTCCCAAGAAGTGGATCAAAGGCGATTGGTGAATCTTATCTGGTCAGTTTTCTAAGGCAGTTGCTGTCAGACTTCTTTTTTACTCACTCCCCTTTCTCCATAATTGTCCGAAAGTCCTAGTGGAGAGTAAAGTCAAGTATTCAGCAGTGCTCCTCCCCATCTCTCCTCAACATCCTCATTTATTCAGCCAGAATGAATAGCAGGCTTTGAAGAAATAAAAGTAGCTTCTCCTCATTAAATCTTGTGGGAAATCCTGACGTTAGAATTCATCTGAGGCTAACCATTCCACCTTGTGATCTTTAGGTTTTGAATTCCATTGAAGTTTTCTATCAACCTAAATATTTCCTCCATCCTCATTTTATTTCACATTTCTTGACAGTTTGGAGGGAAGGATATCAACCGATACTCTGTTTTGTTGGAATAAGTAGAATTGTAGAGCCCTAAAACTTCACAAGTC